>NC_000005.10:111018897-111321928 GCF_000001405.40 Homo sapiens | reverse complement strand
TTCTTTATGCATTTATTAAGAGTAAATTGAAAATGTTGACAAAACTTGTGATTGAAGGAGATTAACAAATGATAAATCTATTTAAGGGCAGAATTAAGAAATTTCCCTTTGGTGTTCCAGGCAGCTTTTTAAACATCAACAGCATCTGTTATTGTTTCTGGAGAAGAAAAGGATTTTGAGGCATGAGATATAATTATACTATGTCAAAACACTGCACTCAAGAATTTTTCCTGTTGAATAGATGATCAAACAGACATATTTTAGGACAAAATAACTACCCATTTTAGATCACAGGCCTTGAGACTACACCCACTGCTGTTTCTAAAGGATTCATGTGGCTGAGAGCTATACCAGATGGCTGATACAGACATGGAAGAGAGTTCATATCTCCCAGCTGTGACTTAGGCTTGTCAGTGACATTCAGTAATATCTAGCATTTAATATTAAGAAACTGTATAAATTAAAAGTTCAGAAAATTACTCCTTCAACAAGAGGCTTAGCAGAGGCAAGGTTGGTGGCTTATTTAGCAAACAGATGTGTTTTGTTTGGTCTGAACAGGGTTTTTAAAAAATGCTGAATGTTTTGCCAACATATAAAAATTGGGAGATTTCACCAAAATTCAGATTTCCAGCTTCTCTTGAATACAGCAACACTAACTCCTTCTTGTGTCCAGCAGCATTGGTGAGACCTGAGCAGCAACTGTTTTTGACAGCCAGCAGCTTCACACATTTATACCACCTCCCAGCTCCTGTTGACATATACATTTGCCTCCTCTAATCTCATGAACACCCAGGAAGTGGGAGTTCCTGGTAACCAAAGCAGAGAAACGTTGAAAGGCTCACTTCCAGGGGTGTAGGTAGGATTATCAATTATTAGAGCTTATTTCATGTCACCTCTTTATAATTCAGTCTAGTGGTTAGGAGTCCATAATTATTCCATTTCACAAATCAGACAATGTTGATATTAGGAAATGTCATTATGCTATGATCACTATAAAAGAGAAAAGCTAAAACCAATTTAACTGTGACAGCCCATAGTTATGGCTGCAGGATGCATCTTGACTGCAGAGATGTTAAAATGTGAAAGACAATGCACTTGAATATCAATTAAAAATGGCAATATTAGCTGGGTACAGTGGCTCATGCCTGTAATCCCAGCACTTTGGGAGGCCGAGGCGGGTGGATCACCTGAGGTCAGGAGTTCGAGACCAGCCTGACCAACATGGTGAAACCCCGCCTCTACTAAAAATACAAAATTAGTTGGGCATGGTGGTGCATGCCTGTAATCCCAGCTACTTGGGAAGCTGAGGCAGGAGAATCACTTGAACCAGGGAGGCGGAGGTTGTGGTGAGCAGAGATTGTGCCATTGCACTCCACCCTGGGCAACGAGCGAAACTCCATCTCAAAAGCAAACAAACGAACAAACAAACAACAACAAAAAAGGGCAATATCATATATGAATAGTACTACATACACATTAACGCTTTCTAAGTTACAAATTAATTTCTGTTTCTATCATTTCCGTTTCTACTCCATAGCTTTCTTAAATAGGCTCCAGGTCTCTAGCCTTATGCCCCTTCAGTCCTCCTCCATTGTACTACTGGAACAATCTTTCTAGAATGGAAATCTGACCATGACCCTCCCCTATGCTCACTATCCCCACGATGATAAGAAAAATCCAGTTTCCTCAGCATGTCATGTGAGACCATGTGCCATCTTGCTCATTCTTTCTTCTGGTCTTATCTACTTCTGTCTTCCCTTTTCTCCCTAGCAGTATCAGATTCACTGAGTTGAGCATGCTTCTCTTTTTGTTTACATCACCTCCTCCAATTTTGTGATGAACAAGGTTTTAGGCATTAATGAATCCAATATAACCACCGTCTCGTATGGCACATAAATCACATTCTTTTTTATTCCATCCTAGACTCATTGGAAGTTAAGCTTTTTCCACTCCTATACCTAATATCTCCTCTGTGGTTGATTCACATACATGCCTATCTAGACTAGAGTTTGCAAACAGCCATCTCATAAGTTGATTCCACCTTTCAGTTATATCTTGCATACAAAATGTTTAGACAGTTTTTTTTAATTGGATGTCAACATTAACAATAGGCACATTTTACATTTTAAGAAAACAAAGCCTAGAAATGTAGTACTAGCATTCCTGGATAACCACAATCAGTTAAAGGTAGCAGTAGCTGTCTCATCAAAACTGGATATGCTTTCTACATTGTATCAGGGATCCCAACAGTCCCCATGATTTTTAATGTATCTTCTCACTCATTTACAACACAGGCCTGCCCTTTATAAGCATCAGAATTAGCAATTTTCATTATACACTGGGAACTCATCACGTTCACAGAGCATCTTACTGATCTATGTCCCAGGTGCCTAGCACACAGCCTGGAATATATAACTGGAGCTCAAGAAATGTTTTACAGATTGGAGAAATCTGATATAATAATCACAACAACCCAACAAAAAAGGCAAGGGATATTATGATATACAGCTGATAAAGAAAGCACAGTTTGGGAAGTTAATGTCTTGTTCAAAAAGACATAGTTAACAAAGGGAAAAGCTGATACTGAATCCAAGACTGCTGTGTCTCAGGCCTTCTCACTAAGACACACAGTCTCTTGTGGAAGTCTATCTAGAAAGGTCCCAAAAACTTAACACTTTTTCAATTGATAAATTAATCACTACTACTATTGGAACAAATCTTTCTAGAATAGAAAGCTGACCCCACCATTACAGAGCATATTGCACACTGCCTTGAATTGTAGTTAATTGTGTGCATGTGTCTCTCCAGTGTGACTTGAGGGTGAAGGCCTGTGACAAGCTAGTGTCTTTCATATAGTAGACCTGCAATACTGGCTTGGAGATTTAAAATAAATTGAATGAATAACTCCTTACCAGCTCTATCATAACAATGTCTTAAATCCTCTAAGAAGGGAAGGAAGAAAAGGGAGGAAGAGAGGAGAGAAGAATATTGTTATAAAAGAAAAATAAAAATACAACAAAGAATCCACTTACATCTACTTACTGTTTTCCATCTTTGTCAACAGTATTTGCATCATAAGACTGATAAAATTATACGGTTTCTAATCTATTTAGATTTTAAGGTGTTATCTTCATTATCCTCATACTTACTCTGTCAGCTCTGTCAAATATTTGTATTTGTTTCCAGGAGTCATAGCCAATTCTGTCTTTATTAACACAATTATCTGATTCTTTCATTAAGGCCAGAAGTGACATTAGCGACATTTCATTACAATTTAAGAGACATTCCTAGAATTAGAAGTGGCACTGCTTTTCTGGACAGTGTTGTCTAAGTTGAATTGCCTAGGACTGGTATCAGAGCTTGGTATTTCCACTCTGTTAGTTCCTCCACCTCCAACCCCACCTTCCACCCCAAAATAATATTTTCTTTCACTCCCGCTTAGATAATAAAGTCATTAGGGAATAAAACAACTGTTCCACATGGCTATGCTATGGCAATCAGTCTTAAGAGAGTCTTATACTTTATAAACAGTATTGAATGAGCCTCACTTTACTCATCTCAGAAAACAGAAACCACATCTGGGATTTTATTACCTGACAAATTATGGGACAGGCACAGGGGTACTACACAGCCATGTGGATCATAAAGAATTGTGATCCACCTAGCCATACACTTTGCCAACTTTAAATCCAAATATGGAAATTCTGATCACCTTTTTCAGGCTATTACTTAGTAAGCCATTTTGTGTCATAGATAGATAACACACTTCCTCCTAATGCATTTACTAAATTATGTAATACACTTCCACAAACCAACCATTACTAGTCATAACTACCTTCTTGCCATAAATGAAAAGCTGAGGTATAAAGGGATTAAGCAACTTGTGTCAATTAAATCAAGTGTTTCCATTCTCTTCGCATGTAGTACAAATCTGCTTTTCTTTTTTAGCAACCTAACTTTATACAGTCCGATAAAAAATAGCCTTTTAATCCTGTTTTCCTTTTTTTTTTTTTTTTTTTTTTTTTTTTTTACATATTACTCCACCGGCTTTAGGATTCTGAATTTATTTGAAAACAAAATGTAATATTTGCATTCAGACAATACAGGGCCCGTTGTTCAAAAATTATTAAAATTTCAACATGGCCATGGCAGAGCATTAAACCAAGTGCAGAGCCCTTTTGAGCAGAGGAATCTGTGGGGCTGTACAGGACACATGCCCATGAAGCTGGTCCTGACCACAGACAAATCATTTGGCCTACTTGACCATCAGATTACTCATCTACAAATGAGGGGCATAATCACATATGCTTTATCTACCTCATGGACTCATTATAAGGATCATGTAAGTTCAAACTCTTTGTAGGGTCTGAAACATGTTAAAAATAGAAGTTTGTGTTACAATTATTGGCTGAGGCACTTTATTTATTTAATAAATGCTGTATTATAAAACACTTTCTACAGGCTAAGCTTGAACGAATGAGTATTGCTTATTGCCCTAAGAAAACTCAAATTCTTTCTTAAAACATAGGCTTTACCGTGATTTTATATCAGTTGTGTACTTAGGGAAGTTAACAATATACTCCTTGAAATAAGAGTTCACTATATAGATCTAACTAGGAACAAATGGTTGCCTTAAACTAACCTGAACTAATTTAAATCACTATGTAATGTAACTGTGAAATTTGACATTCATTTTTTAGCACATTTCAGTCCCTACATTAGCCTGACCTATAATTTCTGGGAAGAAAGTCTCCTAGCACTTGTTTCTTATCAGATGCATTAATATTTAGTCCCTCTTACAGGTATCAGAAGCCCATGGTGTCTTCGGTTCCAAGCCCATGTCCTTTATTATTATTATTTTTAATGCCTCTTCAGTAGTTTTCGTGCATTCTGTTTTTGGGTCAAAAACAAAGGAGAGAAGCTTGAACCAGCTAGAAATTTCAAGACGAATTCCTATGTGCTCTTAATCCTCAAAATATATTAGGATACAATTACAAAAACAACTCAATTTTTAGTGTAGAGGTCAAATGTCTTCACTTCGTGTTCTGGTTTTGTTCTCAACCAGTCTTTCAGAGAACATTTAAATAGCTAGGAAACAGGTTAGAATGTTGCTATTCCTATTCTTGAAAATGCAATATTAATTGAAATTATAGATTGCTTGCTCCTGGTGATTTATCAATGCCAGAAAAGCACTGAGGTACTATGGGCTCCTATCCCTTTTTTCTTCTAATATAACCACAATGTCACCTAAGAAAACTCTTTTTTAAAACAAATGATTTAAACAAATAACGCAGTTGCAGGTCAAACATGACACTATCTCTACGCCTGTAGAGGAGCCTTCACCGTGCATCTTCACATTCTTCAAACATCCAGTTAAAGCTAAGGGGCCAGTCCTCAGAGCTAGAGGAAGATCAATCACTCAACATCTATCAGAAGCTCAGAGTTAAAAGAAAAAGTCACCTCAGGTGTTCTCATCTTAGAAGAAGAAAAGAAGGAAAAGAAGGTTACAACTCAAAGTATGTTTGCAAATGTCAGTCTAAGCCTCCTGGGCAAATGTCTGTGGAGTGAGACTAAATGTTGAGAACAGTTAAGTGGGACAGTGGTGATCACAAAGTACCTCAAATTGAAACAGCAAAGGATGGTCATAGAAAAAGAACTGAGCTGATCCTTTATCCTCCCTAGGGGACTGGCGACATCTCCTGCCCCGTTACTGTGGAGCAGGAATGGCCAAGGGAGGCTGGAGAAAAAGGATTAGAGTATTAGGCCACATGTCAAAGCTTTGATGTGATTAGAAATTATTGGAAAGCCCTTGAGGGAATGTCAATTTCCTCTTTATTATTGGTAATGTTTGCTTAGGGTCATGAAATAATTTGAGTTCCCTGAATATGCAATCTTTAATGAATAAAATGTGGTGGTCTGTTTTGCTTCCTGCATTAATTAAAAATAGCATCAAATTATTGCCTAGAGAGCCAAACAAAATGATAAACTCTTTTGTGCCCTCTGTAACTTCAATCCTAGATTTCCAACCTGCCTCTGAAGAAAACAAAGTATTGTGGCTATGGCATTGCAGCCCTTCGCAATATCTCAGGTGACAGTTATCTAGCAGAAGAAGCTGTCACTGGCTGCAGACTTTAAAAAACTGAGAATGAGCCTTTTCAAAAAAACATGGCAGAATTTGTCTAAATATTGCCAAACAGAAAATCGCTTTTTCCAAGCTAACATTTATTTAGCTCCTCCTACGCACATTGGGGTAAAAGAATTAGAAAGTTTAAGTCTTAAGAGGAAAAGAGATTAAGAATGAGGTTTAGAGTTCCTTTATATACAAAAAAAATGAAGATCATAATCTTCCACAACTAAGATTGTCGTGATGATTAAATTAGATATTTTATGTGAAAGGTCCTAGCCCAGTGCCAGGCACGTAAATGAAACTAAATGAATTTTAATTTTCTTCTTTCTTCTTTATCTGATTTCAGAATACCAGGTGAAAACTAACCTAATCAGGGAGACAAGAAATCATTAATAAATGAGCTTTTCTATGTTCTGTGCACCACCTACAATGTTAGTATTTCAAATTAATCTGTATGAATCAATATTCATTAAACTGCACCAGGCAAATGGTGCAGAAAATTAAAATAGCTCACTATTCCTCTCCCTAATCAATTGAAAAGCTAATGCTACCAAAAGTTTCTAAGTATCTGTGCAAGCAATGACTTTTCCCGCTGATAAATTTTGAGGAGAAAATAAAACCTTTTCATTAATACTTTTCTTCTTTAAAAACTCTGCCAAAAGCACATCCAAATGCACACACACTTCAAATAAAGTATGGAAAATTTTTCCAGCTAATTCGGCAATAAGCAAGGTAACAATTTGTTTACCAGGAAACCAAGTGTCTTGAACAGAAATAGCCATGTAGAACCATAACATGGTATCTATTTAATCATGTCATTTTGCTACTGCAGTATCTTATCTTTGATAAGATACTTTTTTTGATATCAAATCCATTATCTCAGAAATTACATTTCATCATCTAAATTGATATGATCCACTCTTCAAAATGTCAACATTAAGAAAGCCTTTGTAGTTGTTTCTGGATTATTTTAAACAACAATAAAAACTCCCATATTGGTAAATGTCAGCTTTCTTCATTTGTAATTGATTGTCATTATAAAGACAGAAATGGTATTTTCAACGTATTAACAAGACACTTATTTGATGGTCTTAATGGTTTTCAATCATATTCAAGAACAGAAATGAAACACACAATTACATCAGGGTATATCATTATATTGGTGGGAACTAATTAATTGGTTCATTAGCTTCTGCACATTTTTAACTATCAGCTTTTTAAAGTTCTAAAAATACTAGAAAATTATTCTGAAAAGATTATAAAGTATTTTTGTTCCTTTTCTGAATTAAAGGCACTGTTAAATTTATTAGTTAATTAAGCAAACTTTTGAAATGTAAAATGTGGGTTACAGGGCAAATAAAGAACAATATATGCACTGTTATAAAGCTCTGTTGTAATATGTGCTTTACTAATAAACAGATTTGCAGATCCATGATTGCAAAAATGTTGGAACTGTATTAAAACATGACTTTCCATTATATGGATATGCTGTTGGTCAAGCCTTATCTGGATTTGAACAATGATGGAAAAAGTGAGTCTTCATAAGTAGTTCCAAGACCACCAAAAAGTATCATTAACTCTTCACCAAATTACACAGCCTAAGACTAACAAAATCCTATACTTAAACTCCACTCTAGGTACCAGCCATACCTTATATATTAAATAAATGCATTCCCCAAAATTTCACAGCTGTTTAATAATGTATTAGTTTTTCCATTACTTCCTATTACACTTTTGGGGAGTGGCTTCTACAGAAAAACAAAATTGTCCTAACAGAGAAAAAGACACACACTTAAGAATACTAACATTCACTACAAAGAAGATTCTACTCCTATAATTCGATATACCCATACAAATTATTGCAAAAAGTTACTGAAAGGACAATCAATACACATATCGCACATCATTTAAAAGAGCATATATTAAAGTTAAGTCCAATTTCATTGGCTTCCTTTCTGACTCCACCACAGTAAGATATGTAAGCAGCAAGTAGCTATGTCTGTATTCTGGGTATTCTGTTGAAATCCTTCCAGATGAAATTCACTTAAAGAGAGGGGTTTTTCTTTGACAATTAAAATGAAAAAATACAAATAACCAATTTATATTGAGTTCTACACTCTAAGCACTGTATTGATCACTTTGAACACATTATTTCTTAATGGTAATCTATCATAACAGGAGATAAGAAGATTGAGGTTAAGAGACCTAAAGGAACATGACCAAGATCACAAAGCTTACATGTAGCAGGGAGGGAAGGTTGAATTCAGATCCAGTCTGACTTCATCACTTATGTTCTTAGTCACCCTGCTTTACTCATTGCCACCTAGACCCTGATTTTCACTGTTGATATTTTTGAGAAAAGTTGTGTGGATATTCATATTTCTTAAGTATAAGGACATATTAAAAGGTAACAAAGAGTTTCTAACAGACCGTTCAATAGAGGGAAAAAACATCTCAAGTTTTAATTCTGTTAACTGAAGAGACTCCCACACAAAGAACAGTGAGAACATTCAGCTTAGCTGCTCCATGGGGTAGAAGCATTTCTGTTATCATAACTGGGGGTGAGACAGAGCTGCTACTGACATCTCATAGGCAGAGGAGAGGGATATTTCAAAACATCCTGCCATGCACAGGATGACCCCCTCTCCTGCAGAGCAAAGAATTATTGCTCCAAAATGCGAGCAGTGCTGAGTTTGAGAAACCCTGGCTTAAGTTGAGACCTACCCAATTTAAAAATCATAAACTGTTGAGGAACACAGGGTACCCAGAATAGAAGGGGCATCCCTTTGGTGTAGTGAAAGGTCTCAAATCCTTCACACTTAGCTTAAGTTAAAGTTGTTTTAAGTTAAAAAGTTTTAAGTCTGCAAGGAAGTTAGTTTTAATATTTGCCCAAAGACAAAAAAGGAGGGCCGCATTAAAACGTGAAGTCTGCAAAATGTATACTGGAGCCAATGCTCCAAAGATTGTCCCAGAGAAGATACCATATGAGCATAGGGCTCTCCGCTAACAAATCACATTCGTCAACGGGGAGTTGGCCTCCAGTTCATTCCTACTCTGTATTTTAAACTCAGAGACATTTCTGAGTTTCTTGGATGGTTCCACAAGACTTAGAAGGCACAACCTAAAGAATCTTATTTAATTTGTGGTTGAAGTATCATTCATTTGTATCTTGAAATTTCTGGCTGCCACTAGAAACTTCAGAATATTCCATAAGAAAGAAGTCAAGGAAGACTCTAGATACACTGACTGAGTCTGCTGGAATCCTAAAAAACATGAACAAATTCAGGTCTCTTGGAATACAATAATAACTGACACCTACTACCCAGTTACTCACAGCCAGGCATTGTGTTATACTCCTCACAGGCATTATCTCATTTCACTCTCAGAACAACATTATAAGCTAGCTATTTTAATGTCTATTTTACAGATGAAAAGAGTGAAGCACTTGCTCAAGGTCATACAATTAATAAGAGGTAAATTTGGAACTTGAAGCTGGTTCTCTCTAGTATTAAAGTCTACGCCTATAACCACCATGATATCTGGCTTGTTTGGTGATCCCTCAAACCCATATTCTCTGGGCATCTATTAGGAGTCCTCCACTTTGGTCTTAAGGTCTTGGCATCCAGCTGCAAGAAAGCATTTGGCCAGGTTGCAGGGTGCATCACCTCACAATGAAATAGAGTTATTTCTTAGAATGAATAAGTTCTTTGTATGAAAATTCATAACTAGAAAATCAAGAATTTGCTTTCCTTCAAAGAAAAAAGGACTAACATTTTCTAGGATGAAACTCTATCTCATATTTTTAGATCTTTGACTTTTCTAAAATATGATGTAACTTTTAATCTGGTTTTCTACACATACCAAGAGATCTGGCAGCTAAAAAATACCAAGGAAACAAAAACAAAAGCCAAATAGCAACAACACAACATCACCTCACTGCTACCGAAGATTAGGAAGACTGACAAATTACCCATATTGATTCTCTACTGGAATGAGACCAAAGATGACAGCAAACACAGCTGGTTTATATAATATTTATGATTGTCCTTGAGAAACAAGAAATTTGAGAACAATTTGATGTCTTTGAGGAAAAAATGTCTTTTAGAAATTTATGAAGGCTTTGCAAAAATTCCCAAGAAGAGCAAAGAATCCTTCAACTTTCCTTTGGATGAAAATGACAGCTCTGCCAAATGAACAGAGGGTGTGAGGCCAGCTCTGGACAGCCTAGATGTCCCCTACATGGCTGTGGAGGTCACAAACTGTCCAGAACAACCTGGCCTCAATCCATTACATAGGCTTTTTACTCTCTTCTGCACCCACCTTCCTTCTAAAGAGAGAATGGGGCCCATCAACGTATCATCTATTTAGAGTTTTTCATACAAAGACCAATTATTCTTCAAACAGAAATCCCAGAGGTACAAGTATAAACACTATAGTATGCTAATACAAGAACTCTCTCTCAGCAAGTCTTCTCTAAGGACAGCAAGTGTGCAGGTGGTGACTGCCACATGGCAGCAGGCAGCCCCTCCATCTGCCAGTTTTAGAAAATCTAAGGAAGAGGAACTATAATTTTTTTTCTTTTTGCTTTGGACCTAATTACAACCTTATGCCAGATAAACCGATGTCACGTTCCCTTGCAATAAAAAAAGGGTGGTGGGAGAGGGTTTGGGTTTAAGATTTTACCTTCACCCAGGTAATGCTCTCACTATAAAAAGGTTGATGACAACCAGATTCTTTAATACCATTCTCTCTGAAAATAAGCTCCACTAGTTAAGAAGCTTATTTTATTTTGAATTTTTATCTAAATTCAACTGTATTATACTGGTGTTCTTAGAACGGATATGTGTGAGATCTGTTATGTGTCTGTGAAAATGATCCTCACCACTGCTGTCAGATGAACACAGCTAAAGCGACTCATCATCCCTACAGCCCAGAAAACTAGAGAAAGCATCCCAAATGCACATAAATAAATGTTTCATATACTCAAAAAGAAACATATTCACAATTCTTATTATAGTTCTGCTACTATTTTAAAAGGCCAATATACTTTTTATAATTCAGTAGAAGTTTCCTTAAGGGAATCGCTCAGAACATACCCTTAGTCTTAAAGCTATACTGTGTTCACTAGGACAGGGATTACCAAAGCATGAAAAGTAATACTAGCTGTCTTTGTTGAGGAGTTCCTATGTACTAAGTGCCAGGCTTAGTATTTACATATATACCCCTCTGAGCCATCTTCCACACTGCTGTCAAAGTAAGCTTGAGTCCTAAAGCGACATCTTCTTTTTAAAACCTTTCAATTACCCCCTATTGCCAATGGGTAAAATTCAGATTTCTTAGCATGACTTACAAGGCCTTCTATCAATTGGCTCATGCCTCTTTTGTCATTAGTGCCGGAACTTCTGTCAACCAACTCCCTGACGTCTTACTCACGATGTAGCACAATATCATTTATCTTTATTGAAAGCATAAGTACACAGATAACACTTTATTTTAGAAGGATACATTTATTTCCAAAGAAGCTACTAAACACATTGGATGTTTACTAGAGAATGGAGGTGAGGAGGTAGAAACAGTGATAAAGAGATAACAAAGCAATAAAACTAGAGAAACTTTGCACAGGTGGGGATACAGGTGGCCATGACGGAGGAGCACAGTTAAGTCAACTCTACCCCCAAAACGAGGTTGAATATGCCTTGTTAGCCTAGGTAAATATATGCACCAGGTAAATGTATGCACTCATGAAACGGTGTCAGTAAACTCTCCTCAGGTTGTAGAAAAGAGGACATAGAAGCCTGAACCCTGCTGTCTACTCATTTCCTTAATCTAACAGACTATTTATCTATTCTGAAGCATGTGTGAGATAGCACATTTATTTTCCTGCAAATTAAGGTATCAGCCTAGCCTATGTCCCTTATCAATATCTGCCCCCACCTCCACATGACACTGAGACCACCAGTGGTCCTAAAGATGGAATGAATTCCAAGTCTAAAGTCCCATATCCAACCCACATTTATTTCAACTCACTTTTTAAAAATAAGCAAAGTTTTAGAGAACAGACATTTTAGTGAGATAATAGAAGTTAAAGGGTGGTCATGGAGGGACACTTTACCATGATCCGGACCTGGAAAACTCCAGGTGAACAAGTCGGAATAGAAGAAATAACCTGTGCCACAGCTCACCCAGAGAAAAAGCCAGGAGGATGACTAAGCAGGCAGTAAAATGGATTGTTAATGGCTCAGAACCAGAGTCAGTTCTCACTCCTAGATTTGACTTTAGCTTAAGGAGGTTCAGCTTTAGTGAGACCTTATGGGGATGGTTAAATGCAACAACAACAACAACAAAAATGGGCACATATTTTGCCCAAGAGTGGCCAGGGCTCCTTGAGAGGGAGTGGGGTGTTGATCCCAGACACCTGAAAGGTTCCCACCACAAATGCACATCTTTGATCATGCTGCCTTTTCTGCCATTCACCCTGTCCTGCCCACCTAAGACCCAGGTCAAAGGTTTTCCTCTCCTACATCTCTCAGCCCAGGCAGAATTGATAAGTCCCTTCAGGAGGCATTTGGTTTGGTGTACATGCTTACTGACAATGAATAGTCTCAAGTTGCAAAGCACAACAATTGTTAAGCGATGTGCCCTCAGGGTGCCCTGGACCGTCAGCTAGCAGAGCCTTGTGACACTGCATTGCTCTTTTGTGTGTGCTTTGTTTGTTTGAACTCAAAGACTCTAAGATACTCAGGTCCAAGAACCATGTCTTATTCACTCACATCTCGACCACGGATTGTAGTTCCTGGACACTAGAAAGAATTTACTACATGTTTATGGTACAAAGGAAACATCAGTCAATGAAGTTAAACAAATATAACCACAACACAGGTAATCCCCATATGGCAAATAGAAGGTTAATTATATCTCAATTATTTTTCATCTATAATTAAATACATGTAATTTTAAGATTACTGAATATTTAATTTTCCCTTTACTTCAAAATAAATAATGGGTTTCATTTTAAGATTACAGAAGGCACTTTTAACGAATTCAGTATTTAGGGCTAAAGCTCCGGTAATAAGCTATTGTTTTCCATAACATAAATGATTCTAGGAGAATTTTACATAACTGACTTTTCCTGAAATCTGAGTCAAACTGAACCTCTCTAAATAACATTCTGTTTCCCACTGGACTAAATTTCAATTCCAGAGATGCTTAGCTGTCATTTTGGATTGATCTCCAAAAAGGATTGCTCCCAAAATTAATTTTTAAGTTTCATCTGCAAATTTTGTAGCTTGTAGATAAATATCTTTGAATGAAAAGTAATAACTACAGTAAAGGGAATTAATGTTTTTAAAGGAAACACTGATCAATTATTTCATAAAACAAAAATATTCTTTAGTAATCCTTATTACCACCACCTATTTTATATGTTTTATATATTTGGATTTCTGAGCCCCAGGCTTTTGAAAATTAAAGCTTGCTCATATTTTATTAGTTAATAAAGTGCATTTTAAAATAAGAACTAG
Source organism: Homo sapiens (assembly GCF_000001405.40). Classification (NCBI taxonomy): domain Eukaryota; kingdom Metazoa; phylum Chordata; class Mammalia; order Primates; family Hominidae; genus Homo; species Homo sapiens. The sequence continues at coordinate 111,308,281 of NC_000005.10, read as the reverse complement.
TTTTGATACATTTATTTTATTTTATTTTTTTATTATACTCTAAGTTTTAGGGTACATGTGCACATTGTGCAGGTTAGTTACATATGTATACATGTGCCATGCTGGTGCGCTGCACCCACTAACGTGTCATCTAGCATTAGGTATATCTCCCAATGCTATCCCTCCCCCCTCCCCCGACCCCACCACAGTCCCCAGAGTGTGATATTCCCCTTCCTGTGTCCATGTGATCTCATTGTTCAATTCCCACCTATGAGTGAGAATATGCGGTGTTTGGTTTTTTGTTCTTGCGATAGTTTACTGAGAATGATGGTTTCCAATTTCATCCATGTCCCTAAAAAGGACATGAACTCATCATTTTTTATGGCTGCATAGTATTCCATGGTGTATATGTGCCACATTTTCTTAATCCAGTCTATCATTGTTGGACATTTGGGTTGGTTCCAAGTCTTTGCTATTGTGAATAGTGCCGCAATAAACATACGTGTGCATGTGTCTTTATAGCAGCATGATTTATAGTCCTTTGGGTATATAACCAGTAATGGGATGGCTGGGTCAAATGGTATTTCTAGTTCTAGATCCCTGAGGAATCGCCACACTGACTTCCACAATGGTTGAACTAGTTTACAGTCCCACCAACAGTGTAAAAGTGTTCCTATTTCTCCACATCCTCTCCAGCACCTGTTGTTTCCTGACTTTTTAATGATTGCCATTCTAACTGGTGTGAGATGATATCTCATAGTGGTTTTGATTTGCATTTCTCTGATGGCCAGTGATGATGAGCATTTCTTCATGTGTTTTTTGGCTGCATAAATGTCTTCTTTTGAGAAGTGTCTGTTCATGTCCTTCGCCCACTTTTTGATGGGGTTGTTTGTTTTTTTCTTGTAAATTTGTTTGAGTTCATTGTAGATTCTGGATATTAGCCCTTTGTCAGATGAGTAGGTTGCGAAAATTTTCTCCCATGTTGTAGGTTGCCTGTTCACTCTGATGGTAGTTTCTTTTGCTGTGCAGAAGCTCTTTAGTTTAATTAGATCCCATTTGTCAATTTTGGCTTTTGTTGCCATTGCTTTTGGTGTTTCGGACATGAAGTCCTTGCCCACGCCTATGTCCTGAATGGTAATGCCTAGGTTTTCTTCTAGGGTTTTTATGGTTTTAGGTCTAACGTTTAAATCTTTAATCCATCTTGAATTGATTTTTGTATAAGGTGTAAGGAAGGGATCCAGTTTCAGCTTTCTACACATGGCTAGCCAGTTTTCCCAGCACCATTTATTAAATAGGGAATCCTTTCCCCATTGCTTGTTTTTCTCAGGTTTGTCAAAGATCAGATAGTTGTAGATATGTGGCATTATTTCTGAGGGCTCTGTTCTGTTCCATTGATCTATATCTCTGTTTTGGTACCAGTACCATGCTGTTTTGGTTACTGTAGCCTTGTAGTATAGTTTGAAGTCAGGTAGTGTGATGTCTCCAGCTTTGTTCTTTTGGCTTAGGATTGACTTGGCAATGCGGGCTCTTTTTTGGTTCCATATGAACTTTAAAGTAGTTTTTTCCAATTCTGTGAAGAAAGTCATTGGTAGCTTGATGGGGATGGCATTGAATCTGTAAATTACCTTGGGCAGTATGGCCATTTTCACAATATTGATTCTTCCTACCCATGAGCATGGAATGTTCTTCCATTTGTTTGTGTCCTCTTTTATTTCCTTGAGCAGTGGTTTGTAGTTCTCCTTGAAGAGGTCCTTCACATCCCTTGTAAGTTGGATTCCTAGGTATTTTATTCTCTTTGAAGCAATTGTGAATGGGAGTTCACTCATGATTTGGCTCTCTGTTTGTCTGTTGTTGGTGTATAAGAATGCTTGTGATTTTTGTACATTGATTTTGTATCCTGAGACTTTGCTGAAGTTGCTTATCAGCTTAAGGAGATTTTGGGCTGAGACGATGGGGTTTTCTAGATAAACAATCATGTCGTCTGCAAACAGGGACAATTTGACTTCCTCTTTTCCTAATTGAATACCCTTTATTTCCTTCTCCTGCCTGATTGCCCTGGCCAGAACTTCCAACACTATGTTGAATAGGAGCGGTGAGAGAGGGCATCCCTGTCTTGTGCCAGTTTTCAAAGGGAATGCTTCCAGTTTTTGCCCATTCAGTATGATATTGGCTGTGGGTTTGTCATAGATAGCTCTTATTATTCTGAAATACGTCCCATCAATACCTAATTTATTGAGAGTTTTTAGCATGAAGGGTTGTTGAATTTTGTCAAAGGCTTTTTCTGCATCTATTGAGATAATCATGTGGTTTTTGTCTTTGGCTCTGTTTATATGCTGGATTACATTTATTGATTTGCATATATTGAACCAGCCTTGCATCCCAGGGATGAAGCCCACTTGATCATGGTGGATAAGCTTTTTGATGTGCTGCTGGATTCGGTTTGCCAGTATTTTATTGAGGATTTTTGCATCAATGTTCATCAAGGATATTGGTCTAAAATTCTCTTTTTTGGTTGTGTCTCTGCCCGGCTTTGGTATCAGGATGATGCTGGCTTCATAAAATGAGTTAGGGAGGATTCCCTCTTTTTCTATTGATTGGAATAGTTTCAGAAGGAATGGTACCAGTTCCTCCTTGTACCTCTGGTAGAATTCGGCTGTGAATCCATCTGGTCCTGGACTCTTTTTGGTTGGTAAACTATTGATTATTGCCACAATTTCAGAGCCTGTTATTGGTCTATTCAGAGATTCAACTTCTTCCTGGTTTAGTCTTGGGAGAGTGTATGTGTCGAGGAATGTATCCATTTCTTCTAGATTTTCTAGTTTATTTGCGTAGAGGTGTTTGTAGTATTCTCTGATGGTAGTTTGTATTTCTGTGGGATCGGTGGTGATATCCCCTTTATCATTTTTTATTGTGTCTATTTGATTCTTCTCTCTTTTTTTCTTTATTAGTCTTGCTAGTGGTCTATCAATTTTGTTGATCCTTTCAAAAAACCAGCTCCTGGATTCATTGATTTTTTGAAGGGTTTTTTGTGTCTCTATTTCCTTCAGTTCTGCTCTGATTTTAGTTATTTCTTGCCTTCTGCCAGCTTTTGAATGTGTTTGCTCTTGCTTTTCTAGTTCTTTTAATTGTGATGTTAGGGTGTCAATTTTGGATCTTTCCTGCTTTCTCTTGTAGGCGTTTAGTGCTATAAATTTCCCTCTACACACTGCTTTGAATGCCTCCCAGAGATTCTGGTATGTGGTGTCTTTGTTCTCGTTGGTTTCAAAGAACATCTTTATTTCTGCCTTCATTTCGTTATGTACCCAGTAGTCATTCAGGAGCAGGTTGTTCAGTTTCCATGTAGTTGAGCGGCTTTGAGTGAGATTCTTAATCCTGAGTTCTAGTTTGATTGCACTGTGGTCTGAGAGATAGTTTGTTATAATTTCTGTTCTTTTACATTTGCTGAGGAGAGCTTTACTTCCAAGTATGTGGTCAATTTTGGAATAGGTGTGGTGTGGTGCTGAAAAAAATGTATATTCTGTTGATTTGGGGTGGAGAGTTCTGTAGATGTCTATTAGGTCTGCTTGGTGCAGAGCTGAGTTCAATTCCTGGGTATCCTTGTTGACTTTCTGTCTCGTTGATCTGTCTAATGTTGACAGTGGGGTGTTAAAGTCTCCCATTATTAATGTGTGGGAGTCTAAGTCTCTTTGTAGGTCACTCAGGACTTGCTTTATGAATCTGGGTGCTCCTGTATTGGGTGCATAAATATTTAGGATAGTTAGATCCTCTTGTTGAATTGATCCCTTTACCATTATGTAATGGCCTTCTTTGTCTCTTTTGATCTTTGTTGGTTTAAAGTCTGTTTTATCAGAGACTAGGATTGCAACCCCTGCCTTTTTTTGTTTTCCATTTGCTTGGTAGATCTTCCTCCATCCTTTTATTTTGAGCCTATGTGTGTCTCTGCACGTGAGATGGGTTTCCTGAATACAGCACACTGATGGGTCTTGACTCTTTATCCAACTTGCCAGTCTGTGTCTTTTAATTGCAGAATTTAGTCCATTTATATTTAAAGTTAATATTGTTATGTGTGAATTTGATCCTGTCATTATGATGTTAGCTGGTGATTTTGCTCATTAGTTGATGCAGTTTCTTCCTAGTCTCGATGGTCTTTACATTTTGGCATGATTTTGCAGCGGCTGGTACCGGTTGTTCCTTTCCATGTTTAGTGCTTCCTTCAGGAGCTCTTTTAGGGCAGGCCTGGTGGTGACAAAATCTCTCAGCATTTGCTTGTCTATAAAGTATTTTATTTCTCCTTCACTTATGAAGCTTAGTTTGGCTGGATATGAAATTCTGGGTTGAAAATTCTTTTCTTTAAGAATGTTGAATATTGGCCCCCACTCTCTTCCGGCTTGTAGGGTTTCTGCCGAGAGATCCGCTGTTAGTCTGATGGGCTTTCCTTTGAGGGTAACCCGACCTTTCTCTCTGGCTGCCCTTAACATTTTTTCCTTCATTTCAACTTTGGTGAATCTGACAATTATGTGTCTTCGAGTTGCTCTTCTCGAGGAGTATCTCTGTGGCGTTCTCTGTATTTCCTGAATCTGAACGTTGGCCTGCCTTGCTAGATTGGGGAAGTTCTCCTGGATAATATCCTGCCGAGTGTTTTCCAACTTGGTTCCATTCTCCACATCACTTTCAGGTACACCAATCAGACGTAGATTTGGTCTTTTCACATAGTCCCATATTTCTTGGAGGCTTTGCTCATTTCTTTTTATTCTTTTTTCTCTAAACTTCCCTTCTCGCTTCATTTCATTCATTTCATCTTCCATTGCTGATACCCTTTCTTCCAGTTGATCGCATCGGCTCCTGAGGCTTCTGCATTCTTCACGTAGTTCTCGAGCCTTGGTTTTCAGCTCCATCAGCTCCTTTAAGCACTTCTCTGTATTGGTTATTCTAGTTATACATTCTTCTAAATTTTTTTCAAAGTTTTCAACTTCTTTGCCTTTGGTTTGAATGTCCTCCCATAGCTCAGAGTAATCTGATCGTCTGAAGCCTTCTTCTCTCAGCTCGTCAAAATCATTCTCCATCCAGCTTTGTTCCGTTGCTGGTGAGGAACTGCGTTCCTTTGGAGGAGGAGAGGCGCTCTGCGTTTTAGAGTTTCCAGTTTTTCTGTTCTGTTTTTTCCCCATCTTTGTGGTTTTATCTACTTTTGGTCTTTGATGATGGTGATGTACAGATGGGTTTTCGGTGTAGATGTCCTTTCTGGTTGTTAGTTTTCCTTCTAACAGACAGGACCCTCAGCTGCAGGTCTGTTGGAATACCCTGCCGTGTGAGGTGTCAGTGTGCCCCTGCTGGGGGGTGCCTCCCAGTTAGGCTGCTCGGGGGTCAGGGGTCAGGGACCCACTTGAGGAGGCAGTCTGCCCGTTCTCAGATCTCCAGCTGCGTGCTGGGAGAACCACTGCTCTCTTCAAAGCTGTCAGACAGGGACACTTAAGTCTGCAGAGGTTACTGCTGCCTTTTTGTTTGTCTGTGCCCTGCCCCCAGAGGTGGAGCCTACAGAGGCAGGCAGGCCTCCTTGAGTTGTGGTGGGCTCCACCCAGTTCGAGCTTCCCGGCTGCTTTGTTTACCTAAGCAAGCCTGGGCAATGGCGGGCGCCCCTCCCCCAGCCTCGTTGCCGCCTTGCAGTTTGATCTCAGACTGCTGTGCTAGCAATCAGCGAGATTCCGTGGGCGTAGGACCCTCTGAGCCAGGTGTGGGATATAGTCTCGTGGTGCGCCGTTTCTTAAGCCGGTCTGAAAAGCGCAATATTCGGGTGGGAGTGACCCGATTTTCCAGGTGCGTCCGTCACCCCTTTCTTTGACTTGGAAAGGGAACTCCCTGACCCCTTGCGCTTCCCAGGTGAGGCAATGCCTCGCCCTGCTTCGGCTCCCGCACGGTGCGCACACACACTGGCCTGCGCCCACTGTCTGGCACTCCCTAGTGAGATGAACCCGGTACCTCAGATGGAAATGCAGAAATCACCCGTCTTCTGCGTCGCTCACGCTGGGAGCTGTAGACCGGAGCTGTTCCTATTCGGCCATCTTGGCTCAAGACCCCAGTTTTGATACATTTATAAGGTAATTGGGACCCCGAGAATTTTAGGCAGTTTCCAAAAATGTTTAATTTACAGCTAACTAGTAGCTGGACACTGAGAGAATATGGCTTATTAATATAAAATGTTTTAAGATTTCTTTTCAGTCCAAAGCCAATGGTAGCTGAAAGGCTTAAAGAATCCAGGGCTTTATAATTTAAGAATATTTACCCTTCAGCAAACATCCTCACCGAATTCTAATGCCAGTTAAATCATTACATCAAAAGCTCTTCAGAATAAATACTTCTTAACTGAGCAAAGAGATGTCTCTCTTTCTCATATGAAAACCAACTAAATTTAATCATCTTGCAAGTGAACTGTAGAGAGAATAAATGACCGAAGAGTAAGTATGCAAAAAAACTACAATGGCTTATACTTTAGTTGAATCCTAAAAATAAAACTTAATCTATAAATGGAAGCAAGTTTATGTATAGGAAAGTTGTGGAGTCCAGTCAAAAAACAGGATTCCCAAAATGATAGTGGGGGAGGGTATAAGGAAGTTATTTGGCTAGAATGGAAGAATTGTCTCTGAATTGGGAAAATAGAATTCATTTTATTATTTTATGTTATCCAGACGCTGGTACCCCTATGAGAGTTATGTTTATTAAGAAAAATTCACCTTCCTATCTATATTTTCTCCCATTCCCCCTTCAAAGGAAAATAATGACTTCTGATGCAATGAAGGATTCATTAGAGACATTCTAATCCTACTAGACATAGTTTCCAGTAAGATCAGGACTTAGTTCCTTTAATCACTCCATTCTAAGTGTTTCATCACCATCCATGTAGGAGCAAGTCAGCAGTTATCACCAGAATTATTCTTTATTTGTCAATTCCTGTAATTTCAAGTTAATTAAACATACATATTTATATTCATTTTAACTGTTTAGTTTGCTGTATATAAATCATTCTGTAGGATATGTTAAGTCTTTTTTGAAAAAGCCATTTGTTGACATTCTCCAGTAAATAATCTTTTCAATTATGCTAGGAAGAGATGTTGCCTGAAATATATAGAAGCAAATCACATTTATAGTCAAGATGCCCAGACCTAGTACGTTAAGGAGGGGGGTCATATGTCTTACAAAAGGCACCTGAACAGGGCTGATGAAAAAAAAAAACCAGTAAGCCATGAAGCTATTAAATCCTTCTCCAGCATGTGGACTTCACTTACGGGTCAGTTCAAATTGCAAATTTGTAAACTGCAAATTTTCTTAATAATAAATAAAATCCCATATGTAAAATAATGGTCACTGAGTTTATAAACACAACAGAGAGATGTTTTCAAACAATTTGATTTTCAAGTTTTTTCCCAAAATTAATTTTTCTGCATATCCATTTGACTAAATCTAATTTAAATATGCAGTTTCAATTCTTAGGAGAATTCTTATGTTAAAAATGATGTTAAAATAACTTCATTTGCTTTTAATTCCAACAATTACAATTCCATACTTTTTTATAACATCTCTCTCCAGCCAATTTAAAATAGGTTGCAAAAGTTTAAATGGGTCAATTCTTTAAAGCGGTGTGAAGTTTGGCAGTTTCAATGAAGGAAAAAACTCATTTATTCATTTAAAAAGTCAATTATATTATTTTCTTCAGCTACTTATCCATGACATCTATCACTGTAATGTCTGAAGTAAACATTTTAACAAAAAAGGAGAAAATAAAACATTAATTTAAATTTTTTTCTTTGAGAAGAAAGCTTAGACACAAAAAAATCAATGCAAAGATTATACTTTTCATCAGTGACTTCATTTTTACTAAAACTACACACTTTCTTCAAAAAGATTCTAGAATTTTAAAATAACTTGAACAACTAGAGGAAGAGGCAAGTCCTACTCCCCCACAAGGCAAAGTTTCAGATTTCAGAAAAGGAAAAATGTAAGCATCTTAACATGCAGCAATTCGAAATGTGGTCTATGTCTCTCATATTTTTCAGTTTCATTAATGGTAATAATTCTGTCTCGTTTCACAGCTCTTATGAGCAAAGAAGCCCCATGATTCTGACATTAGTATACAATTGTTTTATCATTTCTGTGATTTCAATTAACTTCATCACTCCATGCTTTGTTTCATTTTCCATTCTCTGGTCATTTTCTCTAGCCTCAACATGAAATCATGGATGAAAGTGACAAAGAAGGCAAGAGGTGCAAAGAGAAAAAGAGACTGAGTTAGAACCCAGATATAGCTGACTCTTGGTGAACAGAAGGGGCTGCTTGCTGGCTTGCTTAGGGAGGGGACCCCATGAAAAGCTCACCACAGGTGACATTTAAAAATATTGTGCAACTAATAAACTTGGCAACCACAAAGAAACACCGATACTATGTCATATATGGGCAAATGATTAGGAGTTATAGAAACCTTTAAAAAAAACACAGAAATGGGAGGAAATCAACTTGCAGATGTCACTTGTCTCCAGATTTTCCTGTTTTATCAAATTTAGAACAGCACTTTTCAACAGAAGCAAAGCACTAGCTACGAATGCTGGTCACATAGGGAATTACAAACTCCTAGCAGTCACAGTTTAGAAAGTAAAAAGGAACAAGGGAAATTAATTTCTAAAACATACTAAATATAATCAATATATTCAAAATATATTCAATATAAGTGGAATATATCCAAAATATTTTCATTTAAACATTTAAACAATATAAAATTATTAATGAGATGCTTTGCCTTCTTTTCTGTCTTTGTACTAACTCTTTAAGATCTAGAATGTGTGTCACACCAAGTGCCAGGTTCCAGCCCAAGCTGAGGTCCAAGCGGGGGTGGTGAGTGACAGGTAGCTGGGAAAACACTCGAGGAATCACAGAGAGTTTCGACATGCCTTTATTCTCTCTCTGGACACAAGCCGTTATGTACAGCATTAGCAGGGTAATTATACCTTATATAGACAATAGTGGCTCCCAGCCAAGCACAAGCTCACATGAGTGGTTACCTAATGTACTTCATGTGACATGGTTACATAATGTGTGGAGTTGTGAGCCTGCACTACAAACCTGCTAAGTCATGCTGTGCTGGAAGGTCGCCTTGGCCTACTCCTGACTAAAGCGCAGCCATTTCCCTTACACTCCACCTCCTAGGCCGAGGGCATCTTCCAGGTAGGGACATGTGCCTATAGGGCAGAGCCCTGAATTTATAACCCACGACAACAATACAAAGAGCAACAGCTCACTACTAGGATCCCAGCTAAGCTACTTATGACTGAGGGCCCAGCATAGGCCAGAGCCTAGAGATGCCCACCATCTCTGCAGGTGGTCGTCAATAAGGCTCTGGACTGCCTTAATCTCTCATTAGATCCCCTGCAGGGCTGTTATGTTCTGCCAATTGTCAGGGATAAAGGTACAACATTGTGTTCCTAACGGGGCACGGGTGCCTCCTTGGGCAGTAGTTACTATGTCTAAGGCCATTTGGTTTCACAGCCTTTCTCATCTGATCAACCTCATCTGTTAACAGGAGGAGCGCCATGCAGGTGTAATTCAGAGCCCGAGCGGTGTGCTCTGCAAGAGCAGTAACTTGTGCTTCTTCAGTTATGACACCTGCTCCAGGGATAGTCACTGCCAAGGGGTAGAACCACCAGGGGCTAGTCGCACCTGCACAAACCAAGAGCATAGTGGCTCCCCGTTATGCAGGTGTCTGGGCAACGTGGGGAGAACAGTGGCCTCAAAACTCCTATCTCCACTCTACGTCCACTGACAATGCTTTACCTTCTCAATCAGGACCTGTGAGTGGGAACAAGACAGAATGGAAGAAGAAAGAGAAGCAGTTGAATTCTCTCATTGGGTAGACTGTGATCATAGCTGAGTTCCCTAGCTATTCTTAGAGCTTTGCAAAAGACAGTATTCAAAATAATCTAAATTAAGTGTATTGTGCATTAATTATATTTCAATGAAAAGCATATTGTTTTTATTGCAAACTATTTTCCTTTACTATTTTTGGTTTTATATGGGCTCCAATTTTATAATGCATGTTTATAATTCATATTACTTAGAACTTATATACATAATTTTTAAGTGGCCAATAAGAAATTTTAAAAATAAAAGGCTACTGAAATAAATACCATTGCTCAATCATAAAATGTTCTCAGTGTACAGATGCTTAGAATAAAATTGAGCAATATTCCTACATTAGGTGCTATGGTGAGGACAGCACTTCATCAACTTAGAGATACCACCAGTTGAAAAACATACCAAAAAGAAAAAAGAGCTGCCAATTAGCAGATGCCATTTACTATAAAATATATCCCAATTTCAGAGAAATGTTAAAATACGCAAATCCTGTGTGTCTAATTATTGATGAAATACAGTATTTTTTAAATGAGCTAACACAACTACAGGTAAAAGGCACCAGAATCATGAAATTAACACTGTATTCATGGTATTGAGACCAACAGCTCCAAACCTAGAGGAATTAGTACCAGTAGAATGATGTGTAACAACTACAACATTCAGATATTTGTATTGGTACAACGGGAAAAATGAGATAAATCTCTCAGATCTCTTTATCAGAATCACCATAGACAAGGCCCAGCCAATGAGAGTGAGGCATTAGCCTCCAGTGGAAAATTTAAAGGGGCAACAAAATATTAATAATCAAGATTTGTAATATTTTGATGAAATATTTAAACAAATCATAGTCAATGCAAAAAAAGCCAGAATGTCAGAATTTTAAATAAAAACAGAATCAGTATAGTTGAATTTCTCTTTTGCCTCAAGCTCTAATATGGCTCAGCAGGACACTGAGAGCCACTCATGTCAATTGGAGGTGAATTAAAATCTCTCTTAAATAGGTTTGACGAAGTGCAGTGAGCTAATTTTCCACATCCTAGCCTAACTTTGTAATACCACACTGCCCCAGGAAAGACTTGAGAACTTATAAATGAGTTATTAAGTCATACTGAAAGTCAACTGCATTGTGCTATTTTTGGAAAAAAAGAAGAGAATGCCTCATTGTTTTCCATTGGATTTCAAAGTATTTTTTATTATTTAATTTTTAAGTGCTGCTAGAAATAACTCATTTTTGCAATGTGATTCTAACCAAGCAAATTTTCAAAAAATTGGAATTCTAGTTCGCATTTTAGTTTTAAAAAGTGTCTGAAGCTTTTGCTCATTAAAGGAGCTTAAGAGCAAGGTGGATCCTCCACCATTCAAAGCAACTGAATGTAAGGATTTGGGGCCAATTCTAAATAATTATAAGCAGGAAGGCCCATTAAAGTTTTCACCTTTAAAACCTCATAAAGGTTCTGATCAACATCAATTTCGGTGCATAAAACCATTTTCTTGATTCATGCCATATTTGTGTCTAAAATGTATTGATTTAGAACAGAATGACCCATAATCAATTGGGTATTATGCACAGATCCAGAACTGCTGCTACTGAATCAGAAGTGTCTGGCTCTGCAGGCATTTGGCTCATCACCCAGCGGAATTTCCCAAGAGTTTGTGATAGTATCCTCATGAAGCTGATAACCTGAGGGTTGTGTTCTGTTTTTGTTTAAACTCCACTTTCAGTTACTGATTCCTTTTCACCCTAAGCCCAATTTCTTTCAAGCCACGGGTTATTTGTCTATCTATACTCATTTATAGAGTTGTCCTATTTATATGAATATTTGGCAAATTATTTTTGGTAGAACATACTTATTTGATAAAACAATCATAGAATGCAAATGCAAATTTAAATAAATGTAAAAAATCAACTGACAGCAAAGATTAAAGTTTGCTATCTGCCCCTTTTAAAAAGATTTGCCAAACCAGGAGTTAATTTTATTTTTTGTAACCCAAACATTCATCCCTAATGAACCAAGCATTCTTGATTATGACTTCTATAATATAAATGCCAACTAAGAAAACTTTCCAGACTTTTCCTGAGTAATGGAATATAGGGGTGTTATTAACAGACTTGTTTTCCTTAGGCTTAAATATTTCCATATATTTCCTAAACGGAAGCTTAACTTCTTATAGGAAGCTTATGCTGAGTGTCCAGATGCTTCTTTCTCCAACACAGCCAATAAGCATACACTGATATTTGCCATACCCACAGGGGTGGAGGTGGGATACTGAGAGGGTGATAAAAAAGCTGCCAATATTCTAGAAGAAAGTATGTGGGCTATTACTTGTTTTTGTTTTCAGCAGGCAAATTTCCTGAAAGAATACATAAGTTATTTCTTTCTAAATGAAAAAGCTAGGAGAATATATGGTCATCATATTATACCATTAATACAGTAAAATTTCCACTTTGAAAGAAGTTCACTATGTTCAACTACGTAGCAAATGAAGACTGATAACAGAATCAAAACTCATTATCCCAAACTCCAATTTTTGTTATATGCTTCAACCTCACTTTTTGAAACCACGTGACCAAAACCGAAAAGCATATTTGTTCAAATTGTCCTTGTTCCCCTCTCATTTTCTGCTCTTTCCATTCTCCTAACCACTAGACAACAGTGGGGATAAGAAGGAAGAGCCCAGCATATGAAAGTTTTAGAATATTGCAGATTTCCTCTAGCAAGTAAATTCCAGAATATATTTTGGAATTAAAGAGTAAATGAAGACAACATCCTTTCTTATGTGTTCCATGAGCCATAATTCCATTATAGCTTTTCCCTAAAACACATTTGTCTTATTAGAGAGAGCTTTTACAGACACAGATCTGGGTTGAGCTCATCTTGCTCACTACCACTAACTGTGGTCTTCACTGACACCAAACTGGAAGCTAAAGGATAAACTGATAATTCTTAGGAATCATTTTAGGGCTGGAGTTCTTGAACCTAACTTGAACCAAAATTCCCACGGTTCACTTTCAAGTTTGCAGCAGCAGAATATTGACTATGATTTTTAGACTGGGAAGTGAGCATGGTGCTGCATCTAAATGAGAAATTTGTAGGATATGGAGGGACATGGACAATAGTCATGCTTTTAAAGATATTTATTGTTGGACTCCCTACTGTAACCATCTCCTTCTTACACTGTTTATTCCTCTGCAGATATGCTGGCTTCTTTTTCTATTTTAAACTCTTAAATAGGAGATAAAGGGGAAACCAATTTGGGCGAATTATCATGAAGAGTTAAATTTGAAGCCAGAACAACTGCAAATAAACCCTTTCAAACCACAGCAGCTGGCAATATGTTTTTAATTTGAAATTTAAATCTGTAAGACTTTTAAAGTCACATATTTCTAAAATAAAATTTGCCTCTCGATGTTTTATGTAAAGAATTACTTCCCTGTATAGATATCAGAGCTTTAAGGCAATCAGCTTTTTATCACTTTGGATTAAAAAGTGAAAAACATAACAGTTTCATGCACTGCACATAGCTTAGTAGCATCTGCAGCAATTTAATAATCATTCATGATAATAATAGCTTGACTCCATAATTTAAGAAAAATGCAACCTGCTTTTCAAGAAAGGAGGAAACATTGCCTAATTTGAGGACATGAACTCAAGCACCAAGGGACTTCTGGTACAGTATCACTCAGATGCATGTGCTTCTGAGTTCCCACTGGATTTTCTCAAAAAAAAAAAAAATAGAAATAAGCAACATTTGAAACAGAATACAGAACATGTGCATCAGTTGTGTCTTCATAGTTTAGACAGTGCTAGCATTTATAAGATATCACCATCTTGCTTTTGAACTGAATAATATATATCTCAACCAGGACTCTGAAAACCCTAGGGTAAAAATTTAAGAGAATATTTGTGGCATCCTCCACCTTTTAAGCTGTTTCTTCTAATATCTCAAAATAATATTTAGTAAAAAAAGAAAATTACAAAAATATGCACATTCCTAATGCAGCTATTTTTAAAGTATGCACATGTGTATGTGCAAAGTAATTAGAGGGTACTACGCAAAATGAAATGTGATGTAATTGGGGGTGATTTTTCCTCAAATTTACCTAAATAGCATTTTTAGCATTGTGAATATGTGTAGTTTTATAAGCCCATGACTCAATCATCTGTGCAGTTCTTAACTTTCCTATTAATGTATGGGGCTATTATTTTTATTTCATTGATGGCATCAAAACAACTGTGAGCTTTCTATATGTATTCATTTGAATATATTAGCAAATGAATGGGTGAGTGAATAAATGGATATATACAAACCAATGACAAACTTTCACAATTTTCATGAAAGCAAGTCATTTTTAAAAAGTAGGGCCGGGCGCGGTGGCTCACACCTGTAATCCCAGCACTTTGGGAGGCCGAGGCAGGCGGGTCACGAGGTCAGGAGATCGAGACCATCCTGGCTAACACAGTGAAACCCTGTCTCTACTAAAAATACAAAAAAATTAGCCGGGCATGGTGGCGGGCACCTGTAGTCCCAGCTACTCGGGAGGCTGAGGCAGGAGAATGGCATGAACCCGGGAGGCGGAGCTTGCAGTGAGCCGAGATCGTGCCAATGCACTCCAGCCTGGGTGACAGAGGGAGACTCCGTCTCAAAAAAAAAAAAAAAAAAAAAAGTAGAGCAGCAGCCAGGCGTGATGGCTCACGCCTGTAATCACATAATCACAGCACTTTGGGAGGCTGAGGCGGGTGGATCACAAGGTCAGTAGTTCGAGACCAGCCTGGCCAACGTGGTAAAACCCCGTCTCAACTAAAAATACAAAAATTAGCTGGACGTGGTGGCGGGTGCTTGTAATCCCAGCTACTCCGGAGACTGAGGCAGGGGAATCATTTGAACCCGGGAGGTGGAGGTTGCAGTGAGCTGAGATCACGCCATTGCACTCCAGCCTGGGCAACAGGATGAGACTCCATCTCAAAAAAAAAAAGTAGACCACCGCCATAAAAGCATCGAATATAAAGTTTCAATAAGCATAGTGTTTTCCTTCAAAAGTTTATATATAACCTTAAATTAATAGGTTTAAAAATATTGAAACTAATATTTTCCTAGAGAGTCCTATTCAACATTTAACTGAAGGTGTTCTGCCAAATAATAAGGATTGGCTTCTTAGTCCTCTGGGCACCCCAGAATCCAGAACAATGTATGACACGTGCCATTTCTCCATACGTGTTTGTAGCAGGGAATAATAAATGTGTGTGTCAATGATGGCTGCTTTACTTCCTTTTAAATAAAGAGAAATCACTGGTTGTATTACTCTGAATACCAATTATATTCAGTTTAATAAAAATCAAGCCCTTTCTCTGTCAATGCTTCCGATATAAAATTATCTCAAATACAGGAAGCCTGCCCACTTTTAAAGGCAGGCACATTGCTTCATTCAAGCATTAAATTCTGCAAAAATTCATTTTAAAGGATACTTCAAATATATATATTTGAGACAATGTCTCTGTCACCCAGGCTGAAGTGCACTGGTGTGATCACAGCTCACTGCAGCCTTGACCTCCTGGGCTCAAATGATCCTCCTATCCCAGCCTCCCAAGTAGCTAGAACTACAGGTGTGCACCACCACACCCAGCTAATATTTTCTTTTTTGTTATTATTGTTACAGACAGGGTGTAACTATGTTGCCCAGGCTGGTCTCGAACTCCTGGGCTCAAGTGATCCTCCCACCCCAACCTCTCAGAGTGCTGGGATTACAGGTGTGAGCCAGCATGCTTGACCCTCAAATATATTTTAAAAATCCAAATTCATGATTAAAAAAAGGCTAAGGGAGGACTTAGATTTTTCTCACTATGCTATTAAACAGAGAAAAATATGTCTTTTTCTGAGGTTATAGTCTTGCTTTCACCATTAAAATAAGGTGGGCTTTTACTGTATGTGTCCTCATTTATATACACTCACACACACACTATATATACATATATATACACATATATATGCACATACATATACACATACATATACACACACAAACACATATGTACACATACATTCATACTTTATATAACATTATTTTATTTAACAATCTGTGGCTAATAAGTAGTTTGAAAAATAAGTTTTAAAGGCACTTAGATACATTTAAACATGATAACAATATAGAATGTTGCTGAAAGCCAACCTGTTTCAGATACACTATCACTATCCATGAGGGTGATATCATGGAGATAATTATGAGGACACGTTGTCCTGGTGCTATTGTCAGACTGACTGAATATGCCAACCTAGTGTTACCATCACCTAGGTTATGCATTTATGATTTGACAGAAAATTTGCTGCAAATGTGCATGTTTCTTTATTCCTCTGAGGACCACTGATTTTGGTGCAGGATGTTGGAATATAAATATATACCCATTGTGGCTTTTGCATTTTCTTAAGCACCTGCAAATTATTAAAACACATGTTTTATGGAATGTCTAGACACTGTCCTTATAAAATAGTATGTTGTCAAGAAAAACCTAAGATATCAAACAAGTGAAAAGTATAATTTCAAAGGTACATAAGGAAAAGAAACTAAGAAAGCAAATGCCCTACATACAGGTTTAAAAATATAGGCCAGGTGCGCTGGCTCACACCTCTAGTCACAGAACCTCAGGAGACCAAGGCAGGAGGATTGCTTGAGGCCAGGAGTTTGAGACCAGCTGTGCAACATAGCAAGACCCCATCTCCACAAAAAAAATTAAAAATTAGCTGGGTATGGTGGTCCTTGCCTGTGGTCCCAGGAGGCTGAGGCAAGAGGATCACTTTGGCCCAGGAGGTCAAGGCTGCAGTAAGCACTGATAATGCTACTACACTCCAGCCTGAGTAACAGAGTAAGACCCTGTCTCTACAAATATCAAAAATAAAACTACAGATTAATTAAAGTCTTAATAGAGACTTAATATAAGTCACCAAGGAGGTATGACGACATAAGGATGAGTAAAAATTTCCACTTGCTTCGGTTAACTTTAAAGAAAAGCAATGAAGTGTGTCTATAGATATCAAGAGAGAAACCATGATTAGAGGAAAGAAAATCAACAGACATTTATCAACTTTTTTGTTATTTTTTCATTTCTAAAATAATATTTATTGTATTTTTTATCACAAATGTAATATATGTTTCATATTGAATATTCAGAAAATACAGGATATCATAAAGGAGAAGATAATGTCACCACTGGATATGACCAGTGTTAACATTGAGATTTTTCAAACTGTTATTATTTTTCGAACACATAATAAATATATCTCCTACATTCAATAATTAAATCCAATGCATAATTATTTTAGATAATTTGACATAAAAATGAGGGATTCATTAAAAGTTTTGGGCTTATTTCACTTATAATTGTCAATCTTATGTATACACAAACCACAAGAACATTGATTCTGAGATTCTTGCCTTAGAATTTCCCATGGTAACATAAAGAGCCAAGTGGCATTTTCTTAATTTAAATGGGATTTGGACTATATAAGCCCAAGTTTCTTGATGGAATCCAAATCTGCTTATGTGGTTCCATACGTTTTACATATTCACTTTTAAATAAACCTCCAAGAGACGTGTGATTTTCTACTCCCCAGGTATTAGTAGGGGACCCTTGACACCTTACCTCATGCCTGCCCAGCACTTCTCCCACTTCTCACCATGTAGTCTCCCTGCTGATTCCATCACTCGACCCCATGGCACCCGCACATATGCAACTCACAAATGTGGAAACACCAGTGGAAACACTAGCGCCTTTTAGTGCTTGTCTGTGCCCAGCTCAAGAGTCACTGAACAAAACGTTCCCCTTGGCTCTGCCCCGCATCCTGGCCTCTGATGGATGGTTCTGAGCAGCAGTTTATAAGACTTCTCAGGGGATAGTCCCATGGATTTAAGTAGTTATACTTTGGGCTCACACATCTGTATATTGGCATTCCTTCATTTCCTGGTTCATTTCTCTTATTGCTCACTCCTACTGCCTGGAATTTAATTCCCTAATGAAGTATAATTCCCTAACTATACTTCATAATAATTTTGCCTCAGGCTCTAATCTCTGGCTAGGGATTAATGTATGACAAGAAGATGCAAAAATGTTTGCATAGCCATGGGACCTATTGGTCTTGCTTCTAAGATTAGAAGCAGGTGGCCTAACAGCACAATGAAATGGCCAGTTATAACACCATCTTAGCTTCCAGCTCAAGGAAAATTTTTATGGGTAGGGGAGCAGGCGTCTATACTCCAAAACAGGGTTTATGTGTTGAACCAATGGCATATATACGATACTTGACAGGCCTTGAATGCACAGGTCTGGAAACCTAGGGATAAAGGTGGGATGGGCTCTTCTCACCAATACTTACCATCTTCCATGTGTGTAATTTGTATTTCCTGTCCCCACAGCTTTACACCCTGCCATAGAATATTGGGTTCCCAGGGAGATACTACTTCCACCAGCAGACATAATCAAGTTCCAACTAAATTTTAGATTCCTCATACTTGTGGACCAACAGGTAAAGAAATGAGTTACTGTATTATGAGGAGTAATCAACCCTGAGAGCTAGCATTTCTGCTACACAATGGGGATGGGGAGAAGTATGAATGTGGGGTGATTCATTGGGCATCTTTTGGTGCACTGTGATAATGGTGAATGAGCAACTTTGGCAGTTATAGGCCAACAAAAAAGCAAGGCATCTAAAGGTTTAGATCTCTTGGGGATAAAGATGTGGAACTACCCAGCAGTCAACCCACAACCCACAAAGACTGGTGTCCAATTATGTCCAAGAGCAAGAAAAAATCTAGAATAAATGGTGTGGCAAATTTATAGTGAATATCAAATACAGCCTTGAGATTACTTGCAACAATTAAGACTATTAGCTGTTTCACTACCCTTCTTGCCTTAAGTCTTTTAGAGATTGTGACAGGCCACTACACTGAAGGGGTTACTTTGATAATTCAAAGTGGTGAGGAGGATATCTTATATTCACAAAAAATAAAGGTCCCTTATGTAAGCTGGATATTTGACTTCATTGTATTTCTTTTTTCTTTTTCTTCTTTTTTGAGACGGAGTCTCACTCTTTCTTGCTCAGGCTGGAGTGCAATGGCGCAATCTCTGCTCACTGCAACCTCTGCCTCCCCGGTTCAAGCAATTCTGTTGTCTCAGCCTCCCGAATAGCTGGGATTACAGGCGAGCGCCACCATGTCCAGCTAATTTTGTGTTTTTAGTAGAGATGGGGTTTCACCATGTTGGCCAGGGTAATCTTGAACTCCTGACCTCAGATGATCCACCCATCTCAGCCTCCCAAAGTGCTGGGATTACAGGCATGAGCCACCACACCCAGCCCATGCCTGTATTTCAACATCTCCTCTCCCACCATGAGCTTCCTATTTAGGCTAAACCACCAGTACCCATACATATGTAACCCAGAAGTGTAAGAAAATTAGCACTCTGTGCATGGGACTTTAACCAAAAGGAGCTAGGAACTGGCTGATAAATATTTCCCCTTTCTCTCCTACAATGGAAGGTCTTGAGGTAGTTTACTGACCTTGTGGAACAATCTTCTGAGACTGAGTAATCTATCACAACTACTAGCAGCTTGATCAGTAATGCACCATTTTATCAGCTTTACCTCCTTTTGTTTTATTCCCCTTACTATTCACCCCTGCTCCTTGGGACTACACTCTCTAGTACAGGAATAGCATATATACTCTCTACCCCATGTTCTGCCATAAGAGGAAAGGAGGCTAAGAGAATATAAAAGTATTTTCAAAAATCAACACAGAAAAGATAAACAATATAATAGAAAAATAGGCAAATGTCTGAATAGGGGCTTCATAAAAGAGGAAATAACAAACAGGCCTTAAATGTGAAACAGTGCCCAACTCTTAGTAATCAGAAAAATATAAATTAAAATGTCAGGCAATGTCTCAAAATAGTGTGATATGGCAAAGATGTGAGGTAATGGAGACTCTCATACACTATTGGTGGTACTGTAAATAGGTATAATTTCTTTGATAAAAAGATACATTTTATCTAATGAAGCAAAAATATGCATCCCTATGAGCACCAATCCTCTTCCAATCACCAACCCCAGAGAAACTCTTGCACATGTGTGCTAGGTTACAAAACAAGATGTTTAGAGCATCATTATTTGTAACAGCTAAAATGTGGACCCAAGCCAACTGGCCTTGAGCAGAATAGAAAAATAAATTGTGATAATGTTTTTACAACAGAATACCATATAGCAATGAAATAAAAGAACTAGAACCATGCTCAAAACATGAATAAATCTTAAAAACTTAATTAGACCAAAAGAAACAGATCAAAATATTATACACTACATAATTTCATTTATATAAAATTCAAAACAGGAAAAACTCAACTATATTATTTAGAACGGCACACTTTGTGGTAAAAGTATAAAGCAAAGCAAGGAAGCTGATTACCATAAAAACGAAAGGGATATGATTAGGAGAAGGCCTGCCAGAGGCGTCTGGAGTGCTGGCAATTTCCCATTTCTTTTCCTGGGTGGTGGTTTTGCTTAACAATATTTCATTAGGGAGCATATCTATATTTTATACATTTTTCTATAGCTATGGGGTTTTTGCAATAAAAAGGTTAGGATGTAATTTTTAATTTGCTTTTCATGAGACAGAACCACCTTTTAAACACTTGATCATCTCTAACAGTCATATTAGTAGATGCAATAGATGTCTGAATGACAAACTTTTACATAAGCATCCAATCATTCCTTCCACCAACACTTTTTAAAGTATTAAATATGAAACAGGATGCAAAAACATTTTGACATTTTGACAAAAAAGTCAAAACAATATGACTATCGTATTAGTAAATACGTATGTTTGAAAAGTAAACTTTCCTTAAAATCAAATAATTCTTTAAATCATCATTGACAGTATTAAATTCAAGACAGAATAAATGAAATCTAAATTTTTCAAGATTTCATATAAACTATGAGAGTTGCATTTTCTTTTGAAATATGAACCAAAGCTTTTTTTTATTGATCTTTTCTAAACTCTAACTATATTCACAACTACAATCACCTGATCCCATATTATTAACTTTCTCTGGAACTTTGTTCCTATCCTGTCTCTTCTGGCTTGATTCACTCCCCTATCACCTTAGCATGAGCTGTACACTCTTAAGCAGTATTCCCTATTCAGGTTTCTCCTAGTAGCCTGTTTACACTTTTGGAAGGAGAGAAGGAAAGTGCAGTGGTTTTCTCTCTATGGGAAACTCTAACTACTTGACATAGGAAAAATTTAAAAAGTTAAAAAAAGTTTCAGTAAGGCCATTCTTATGAAAAGATACTAGTATTTCCACCAATCAGCATCTTTTAACAAAGAGGTGATGGAATTTGATTACCTGTGATTTCCAAAAACTCTCAAGAACCTACATAAGGATAAATGCTTTTGCTGAGGGAAGAAAGAGACAGAAGCAAACCTACAAAAACAATAACCATCAAGAAGAAATGAACTTGTCTAAAAACAGTGAAAACTCTACTTCAAAGAAGTTCAACCATTAAGCAATCAAAAAGTTAGTTTCAGTAGCATTAGTAGCAGTTTTCTTTTTTTCTTTCTAACATGCATCAGTTAATAAGCTCCCAACCAGCTTAGACAAAAATTTTATGTTCTATATTTGGAACTTCACTATTGGAAATAATACTAAAAATATATTTATAATATTAGTGATTTAATAAAGTCTTTATAGCAGCTAAATCTGCATAAGGTGAACTTTTTGATCACTGTTAGATACATAGCAAATAGCATGTAATTTGGGACCAGAAGAACTGGATTTGAGTCCTGCCCTTGAGACTTACACAGACATGTTATCTTGGACAAACATCTTGAACATTCTGAGCATCATTTGAAAGAGGGGCTGCAAAGGACTGTTAAGTGGAATAAATTATGTAAAAGCTGTTACATAACTTACAATCACACCACATCACTGTTCATCATATGCCAATTTAATTTCATATTTAGTGTTCTAATTATATGGACACATAAGCAAAAATTAGCCAACTATACATTTTCAAGTAAAAATCATCTATATGGTATTGTGAGATCCCAAATGGCACACCTATACAACACCGGACAAAGGTTTACTCTCTCTGTAGCTCTATTTCTCCATCTTTACGAAGATGCTAAGAATTACCTCAAAAGGGTGATTATGATGGTGAAATAAGATGATATGTGCAGGCTGCTCTGTACAAAACCTAGAAACCTTAACCCTTAAATGTTGCTCTCACTATTGGAATATGGGTTTCACTGAATTTTACATACCTCCATTTTTCTCTTACAGAAGTATCTCCCCTGCTCTATGACTTCCACTTTGCGTTTTGGTCACATACCAATTCAGCCTCTGATCGACTCTGGCTAATGTCCCATTTATCCTAAGCTTGGGTGATGGCAGCATGGTAGCAATGCTACTAACAGCAAGTCTATGAGTAATGAAGGGTCCTTCTCACCAGAGTGCTGAAACTCATTATGGATTTACTTTATCAGAGAAATGGATGACAACACGTAAATGCCAAAAGCAATTCCCTCAAACACTGCTCTGTCATCACACGGGAAACTACCCAATGATAGAGTAGAGATTTACCTGCTGATAAAAAACACTAATTTTATCATTGGACCATAATAGCATTGACAGGGAACATAAGCAACTCACCATTAAGAGGATGACCATAGAAACAAATAAATACACTACTTTATTCTAACAGCACAAAAGAGTTACAACTGCAGTCATAAACAAAAGAGAAAAGATGTGAAGAATTATCCACATGAAAAAGCACGGATTTTGAATGAATTAAGAAATTACATCCATTGCAGCCATGCTTACACCACAGTGGGTGACATCATTATGTAGAGGAACCTCAGTTTGGGCAGCACTTTTAAGTGTGTTTATAGAAAAACATTTAGAAAAGCTAATAGGTATCATCCTGCTGACATATTATGTTATTGAACAACTAAGTTAGTAAAGTACCACAGCATTCTGATTTTCATTAAAATCACATTGGCCACCTGTGCTTATGTGAATAAGCACATTGGAATCTATAAAACCATAAATTTCGTAGGATTCATAATAATACACAAGGAGATACATGAATATCTCAGATGTGTGTGTATGTGTATAGTTCATTTCCCAAATCATATATAAGCTGTTCATTAGTATATTTCTTTCTGCATATTCTGCAGAGTACTGTTTTCCTTCTAGTGTACCATGATCACTTTAAGACAATTTTCATTTGTTTCGACTCCTTGGAGTAGGGCTTTATTTTTATGCTCCAGCCAAAAGAACAGTATGTGATATAGTTCTTATTTTAGTGACAGACATTCCATATGCGCCATGCATGAAATGTTAAAAAATTAGAAATCATCCAGTATTTCCAGGATGTGTAGCATATGACATAGCAATAGCTTCTGCTGATTTACAGTTAGGTTCCATGGGCAATTTTGTGAAAAAGTGAGTTTGTCATAATTTTAGAAGGAGATATCTCTTTTTCATGATTTAGAAAAAGATAAATAAATCAGGAACAAAAAAAATCAAGTTAGATGGGAAATAAAAATCTCACTACACACTTGCTTATTATCCATGGGGATCAGAAATACTGGAAAGGCACTAGTATGTTTAACTTCCAAATTAGCAAAAATAACATCAGGAAAAAGAAGCAATAACGCTCTCGGATAGCTCTCCCTTCCTTTGGACTCTTTTGCCTATTACGGGCCTTTAAACTTCAACAGTTCTGCTGTGCTCCAGGGAAGTTCTTGCAGCTCTAAACTAAGCATCCTCATCAGAGGGAGGTGGGGAGGTAGAGCAAGAGAGACTATCTGAGGCTGGTGATCCGCCCAGAGCCAGACAAGGCTTCTATCTGTGTCTGGGACCAAGTTTGTACAAGTCAGCCCTCAAAGGTTAGCAGAATCCAAATATGAAGTGATATGTAAGAAATAGGGAAAGATTCTGAGGAAAGCCATGATGCAGAGACCAGATAACTTTTTAGTTTCTCGTTAGTTCATCTTTATGTTTCTCATATTACCCAATACAATGCCTTGCAATATCAGACTACCAATAAAGGTCTTTTGATTGAATATATTAATGTTTATTTGACAAATCCACATGGATACATAACTTAAAAAAAATGTCAAAGCCAAATATAAAGTATTTGTTGCCTATGATCACCTTCTAGCAATCTAGATATTTAAAATTTTCTGGCCAATAGAGTTAATAAGGGAGATATAAAGGGTGTCATTTAAATAATTTGTGATAGCAGATTTAAAGAAGGGATACTATAATTTTTACCTCACAGTTACCTTGTTATTAATTTAGTGATTTGTTTTAATTACGTAATAAAGTTTCACCATATTTAAAATGTCAGACCTATTTTATGAAAGCCTCACAAATTACCTATTTTAAAACTTTAGGACACAATTCACATAAAATGATTTTTCAAGTGAAATGGAATAGCAAAGAAAAAGGAGACAACCTAAATGCTCATGAGGATGGAAATAGATCATTAAAATATGTTACTATTTTAAACAGAATACTATTAATCAGTTACAATGAATGAACTACTTTAGCTCATCAATTCCATGGTATGTTTTAAATTGATAGCATCATATACTTGCTGTTGAATAGACAGTAGGAATGCCTCTGTTGCCACTGATTAAGAATGAAAAAAAAGGTTATTGTTGATGGCACACTTGGACAACTACAACCCTGTAAGATTGCATGCAACAAACCATTTAAGAGTTATTTGAAAAATGAATATGAATTCTGATTGTTATTTGAAACCTTCCATTCACACCTCTAGACAGATCAAGAAAGTGTGAGCCTCAAGACTGCCACAATGGCTATCAGCAGCTTGGAAGACATTATTGGGGATAATAGTGGAGCATTCTTTAAAGAACTGCTCATTCATTGATACTTTTGACGGCACAGAGTATGGTACTGTTTGGAAAAACACAAGCATCCATAACTGAATCAAGCAGTGATTAAAGAATTTAACTCTGACTGTGAAGAGGTTTTAGAATATCTTAATTAATTTTTCTTATGTTTTCCTTTCTATATGCACAGAGTATAACAGTCATAAATAAATGACTTAAGATCTACATATAAGTCTAAAAGAGCTTCCAATAAGGGTGTCAGTTTAACTGGTAATGGTTTTTGTTTTCTATCTCAGTGATACAAAAATACTAAAGAGTCAAATATGATAGATCTTTATGCAAATCTAGACAGTCCCTGGTTTACAATCGTTCCTCGACTTACACAATTTTGACTTTATGATGTTGTGAAATCAATACACCTTAGGTAGAGACTGTATTTTGAATTTTTTATCTCAATCTTTTCCCAGGCTAGCGACAAGTGGTACAACCTGTGATGCTGGGCAGCAGCAGAGAACTACAGCTCCCAGTCAGCCACATGATCACAAGGATAAACAACTGATACTCTGCAGTGTGATGTGCTGCCAGGTGATTTTGCCCAATTGTGGGCTAATGTAAGTGTTCTGAGCACATTTAAGGCAGGCTAGGCTTAGCTATGATGTCCCATAGCTTAGGCATATTAAATGTGCTTTTGACTTATTGTACTTTCAATTTGTGATGGGTTTATTGGGACAAAAGTCCATCATGAACTGAGGAGCACTGTACAAGGATAGATCTTACAAACATATTGTTGAAAAAAAGTAGGTTGCAAAAATATGCATACAGTGTGATCTTATTTATATAGGAAGAACTTAAGTAAGAATGGTAACCTGTATTCTGGTGGCTACATATACTAGCAAGTCAAAATATAAAAAATAAACTGAAAGAAAACACACAAAGCTAATTACAGAAATTAATTTGATCCAGGAGGAGGTAAAAAATTCGGAATTAAGGGTCATAGAAAAATGTGATTTAACTGATTCACGCAAAAAGTTCTACTTTTAAAATGAGAAATATATCCTTACAGTACTGATATTTTTTCAAGCAATGTATACTAGAAAAATTGGCCAAGAGCAATATATACAAATATTACCCAGTAGTTAATTACCAGTAGTTAATGGGACTGTCAGTCCTTTTCTTAATTTTCTAGCTGAAACTTTTTCAATTTCCCCATCAGCCACCTAATTTAAGAGTAAAATAACAGTAGGGAACTGCATATACACTTGTATTTTAAATGTTAGATAAAAGAATCAAGCATCTATCAGAGTGGCCCAGTAGTATTAGCCAAACAGCCCCATATTTGCTTTGTCTTTTGACTTTCTCTTTGAGGAAAAACAATGCAATGAAGAAAAAATGCAATAAATTAGGAAGTCATTGCCCTAATTCCAGAAAATTTCTTTTTTTTTTTTTTGAGACGGAGTCTCGCTGTCGCCCAGGCTGGAGTGCAGTGGCGCAATCTCGGCTCACTGCAGCCTCCGCCCCCTGGGGTTCACGCCATTCTCCTGCCTCAGCCTCCCGAGTAGCTGGGACTACAGGCGCCCGCCACCTCGCCCGGCTAATTTTTTGTATTTTTAGTAGAGACGGGGTTTCACCGTGTTAGCCAGGATGGTCTCGATCTCCTGACCTCGTGATCCGCCCGCCTCGGCCTCCCAAAGTGCTGGGATTACAGGCGTGAGCCACCGCGCCCGGCCAATTCCAGAAAATTTCTTGTCAATTTTAGATAATTTTCCATGAGACGCAGCCCATTCTTTCATCTTCTATCTTGATATATGTAATTTATAAAAATGGCTTCAAACTCTCATGAACTTGACTTCTTAAATCAAATGTTTATCCTTATATCTCTTGATAATCTTCTCATTACATAACCCAGAGAGGCCAAAAAGATCTCTCTGGATTATGCAGTAAAGAGGCTTAACCCCTTTCTCCTGAAATGCTATTCTCTTCCTTCTAGAGAGAGAGGAATGATATGTGTGCTTTACAATTCAGCATGGAAACAAAGACTATGTATACCATAGATTAAGGGAGAGGGGATGGGAGGCAAGCAATATCTAGGCTAGAATATTTTATTCCATGTACTATATCACTTACAAGTGGGTTGCAAGAAAAACATTATTCTAGTTATATTAAGCTATAAAGCTAATACAGGAAAGCAGGAGTGCAAAATCACTGGCAGAACTACAGTAGCAGGCTTTAGGATAAGCCCCCAGGAGCAAAGCCCAAAACAGCACCACAGAACTGTCCAGCATGTCACCATCAGAAATTTTTGGATTTCTAGATCCACGAGTCTGGAAGCCACCAACACCTCTGCTTTAATAGTCTCTTGACACCTAGCAAACTAGGGCCTTGCCTGTAGAATACTGTTATAGAAAACAGAGAAATAGAACTTTCCACAACTTGATTTGGCAATATCAACACCACAGCAGAAATATTGCCGTGACCTTCCTTTCTCCTCCAGATGTTATTTGAGTGTATCTAACTGGCAGGGCCAAATCACACCCAGAAACTCAGCAAAATCTAAAGAAGATTCCAAAAACTCCCCTGCTTTTCTCACTGTTGGTATCATAGCAACCATCCAACCAATGCTAATATTCCATTAATATTCTGAAGAAGTATATCCAAGCACTCTGAATTTTGTTCTGCGTTTTAATTAAAATTCTCAGAGGTCCACAGTGAGATTATGTTTTCTCTCTAGCCTGCTTCCTTTCTGGTCCTGGTCTCTGCCAATTTGCATGTAGAGCTCACTGTGTCACAGTTACCATCTGTTTAAATAACCCACATCTCAGAGATTTACACGGCTGCACGTGTCTCAGCAAACCTTTCAGTTTGGAGATCTAGGTCAGCTAGCCTAGATTTTTAACAGAACAGTTGGCTTTCCTATAGAAACAACTGTATTTAGAATTTTGGAGTGCTCATTTTTGTGCCAAGTTCTTTATCATCTGCATATATTTTAATCGTATTAAGGCAGCATGATAGAGAAGCAGCAACATAGATATTAAAGATAAGACCTCTGGTAGGTCACTTAAAACCTAATTAATCACTAGGTTATGTAACTGGAAGAGTTACTTTGAGTCCCAAAAAATAATGTAAAAAAATTTGAGCCATTGCATTTTTGTCTGCCTTCTACAGCACAATGTTTGTCCAGTGCCTTCGGAATGTTCTTTATATAAAAATCTGTAATTCGCTAAAGCTGATTTTTAAAAGTAAGATGTTATCACTATAGCCTGATATTTTTCTAATTAGAAGATTCATTTAAAAGCTTGTTCTGTTTCAAAATAATCCCTCTTACTGTGATGCCTGGGGAATATTCTTATTCCATTAGTAAATCACAATCAGATAAATAAAAACACATTTTAGAAGATATTCACGTTCTTTTCATGAAAACTGCCTTCCAATGTTTTTACTTACAAACTATAATACACACATGAAATTGACAGGTGTTTCGGACATCTTCTGACCTCAATACTGCTGTGAATACCGGCTGTATAATGCTTCCTTCTTCCAAATGACCATGTCCCTCAATTCGCCCAATGAAAGCTCATCAGGAATGATCCTACCACCCACTAAATTTAGCCATTCCTAAGTTTCAACATTGCAAACAGCATTTGTGGATTGCCTAACTAAGCATCAAACCCAGGGGCAGGCACAAAGGACACAAGGATAAATATTATTCAATTCCTGCCCTCAGAGCACTCAAAAACTATGGGTAAATATACACACACATACACAGCAGGCACATACACACATACACACACTGTGTAGTGCACTGCCAAATAAAAAGCAATATAATGAGTACCATACTTTTGGCATAAAAAATAAAATGATTCAAAAGTCTTAAAGATAAGAAATAAATTAGCAATAGGAGTTAGGATTTGCTGAATTAACTGTACCCTGACACAAAGTAGAATAATTGTGTTCTATAATCAGTAATTCTATCATATGAAGGAAAAAGATCACTCTCTGAGAAAATTTTACTCCCCACTCCCTCTGGCACATCTGCGCTTGGTTGGTACATCTTTGAGTATGTAGCATCTAGCTTTCTCATACATGGATTTGATGGCTCAGGGCTGGAGCTGACTGACAGAGACAGCTGAGATCTGCAGAAGGGTCCCAGTGTTGCTATGATGACAGAGCTCATCCTTCCAAATAGCTCAGTCAGGGTTTCTCAAATTGAACTACAGTCACAGGGCCGGAAACCCAGGTCCCTTTGAACTTTGGCCTGGCCTCACTCCTTTCCTCCAGTAATATTCATCATTCTATCCCGACTTCTCAGGTCAGTGTATACAATAAGTTCAAGCCTACGACCAAATTTGCTACAAATAAAAGAAATAATGGGTCCAAACTAGACTTATTTTCGTTAATTACACAAGGACACCTCGCTGAGCAGGCCCTGTGTTGCAAAATTCCAAGGGTTGCCACTCATACTAAGGCCGTGCTCCAGGGGGCGCCCTTGAGCCATACACCATCATAGTCTCTAACGGTTGCCCCAGAGGTTGTATTGCGGTACCCTACCGCCATTGGGTTAGTGTGAACCAATCTTAAGGCATTTTACAATCCTTTCTAGAGCTCTCCAGGGTTAGTTTTCCCACTAAAAGAGATCCGCTATATATTTATATTTTAAAAAGTCTTGTTATCACTGAAACCATCCCTTTTTTCTCCCTCTCTCATTTCTTTGGAAAGCAAAGGATGGAGTGGTTTCTTTGCAGGAGGCAAAAACCCAGTTTAAGATGCCTGGTAAGCCTTGCTTAGAAAATAACAATTATATCAGATTCACTGTAACAGACTCAATTGCCAAATAAAAACTACTACATTAGATTTTGAACTTCTTTATATCAGGGATTTCTTCTCACCTGGTACTTTTGAACTGCACACACTACCTGGTGCATTGCATTTACTCCGTAAATGTTTTTATATTTAGCTACAAATTTTAAGTATTAGTTTATTCACATGAACCTAACAGGCTCTTTGTTTATAATATAATGTAGTATATATGTTGTCTTTTATTTCTTCCATTAAGATAAAGGTTTCTATAATTGTGAGTGACTTTTCCCAAATTATTTTGAACTATTTAAGCTGCACTGTAAAAAAAACAAACAAGCCTGATTCTCCTAATTTCATAATGAAACTGACTATTGCATAAATCTGTGAAATGCAACATTTACAGGGATTTGAGTCAATGTCCATTTCCAACACAAAGGTAGGCACTCCCACGTGTCCAGGGCTATGCAGTGACTCTAACACTACCAAGCATTTCTTCACTGAGCATTGTGCAAAGCACTAGAATTATTCCTGTAGGAGGGCAGCAAAAGGAAAACCCTTGCCTTTATGGACATTATAATCTCAGTTAAGAGAACTAACGCATACAGAGGAATGCCCTAAAAACATTATTACAGCTTCTGAAACATAAAGTAACAGAATAAGTTGATTCTTCAAATTCTACAATGGCATAGTTTTACCAAATACTAACTTTTCTTCTTTCTCCAAGTTACACTGCATCCTGAAATTTTTAAATAATTATTACCCATGCCTGAGAAATGATCAAACATTACTTATGACAGTACTGAATTTAAAAATTTTCCAGGATCACAGTTTTTATATTTATATACCAATAAATCCTTATAACACATCCTAGATTCTCACCATTAAGAAGCAGTTTATAAAATCATTTGGTCCCTTAAACATCAATAGAAGCAGTGATATTATAAAACATATGAAATGGTACATGCAGTCTAGAAGCCACTGAGATACACAAAAAATTGTGTATCATAAACTTAAAGAAAAAAAACACGACTGAGTTTCATGGCCAGCCTTTTAAAATTCATAATTTATTTTTTAACATCTAAAAACTATATTGGTTGCAAAGTAACATTGACTATCTCCATCCTTTCAGGGCTGCTGGAATTTATGATCTCCTACCAAAACTGAAGTAACTGTAACTCTTACTATGGGGAACTTTGAAAAAGAGGTAAAAAGGAAAATAAAAATAAGATAGCTTCTAGTCTGTTGAAATTGCAACAAGCAACTGGCCGAATGAAACATTGCTTTTAATCCCAGAAAATCAGTTTCAGGGAGTTTCTGTGATATATTATGCTTCTAATGCTTTATGACATAACATGCCCACATTCCTCTGTTTAATTCAATGGATATTTTTTAGCCAACTGCTACAAGATCAAGCCAAAGACTTATTCCAGCTCCTACTAGACTCCAGTGTAAGTGGTTGAAAGCCTGTGGCCTCCAAAACCACAGTTGACATCTCAAGGATTCAAATACTTCCAGTATTCATGGAGCTTCATGCGTTCTGTCTGTAAAATCTAATTTCTCAAAATTTATCATCCATGTGTTAACATCTTAATGAAAATTAGGTAAAAGATAACTTTTTCAATAGTACATTTTGGGCTATGTGGACACACCTCCTGAGAAATGGAAATTCAGTCAAGTGGGGAGATTTTCATTTAAAACGTCTAATTTCAGTCTAGCAAGATACTATCTGTGGCAAAGGAACAGCAATTTTAAGATCAAATTGCTTATTGCCTTTGAAGGTTAAAAGGGGCCAAACTTTTGTGATCAAAAAGGATCATAGTAAATGATAATGGAAAGATGGTCAAGATCATATTTTTAAAAATTTTTGGTAAGGATTCTTCAGTCTTAACAACTCTAATGTTTAATAATTATTATGATAAATTTTTACTATTTTCTAACTCTTTAAGCAAGAGATGGGATCAAAATGACAGAGTAAGAATTCATAGAAGCACCCCTATCCCACCCCAAACCCATACAAACAACAGAAACATGTTTGAAATATAAAGAAATTCACAAAGCTAGTGGAAAACAAGGCATGACCTAAGTGAACAAGAAAGTATAAAAAAAACTTTTTTAGATTTTGACTTAATATATAAATACATATTTTTACAGATGGGGTCTTGTTATGTTGCTCAGGCTGAACTTGAACTCCTGGGCTCAAATGATCCTGCTGGACTCAGCCTCCCCAGTAGCTGGGACTACAGACACATGTCACCATGCCCAGCAAAAATTATTTAAATGACAGAATGCCAAAAGGCTAAAAACAATTTTAAATAAAAACAGTGGCGAACAGCCCCAAGATAGCTGCAAGATTTTGGGGGAGTAGGGTACACTGCCAATTAGAGGAGTAGAGGTGGCCCACAGGCTATGGGTGGTTGAATACCAGTGTGCTCCAAAAAAGGGGAGAAAAGAGAGTTTAAAAGAAAAACAGACAGACCTAGAGGATAGGTAGAAATCCTTAAACACATAAGTAATAATAGTAGTTCACAAAACAGAGAATAGATACAGCAGACTGGAGGGAATGCTTCAGTAAATTATAACTGAATATTTCTCAAACCTAAATAAAAGCATTAGCCCTCACAATCAAAGGAATGAGGGATTTTAGAGGAAAATAAGCAGACACAGATCAGTTAATATTAGAATTAAACTGAATTGTCAATAATATTTGATACAAGAAGATGGTGGGACTATATATTTAAGGTCCTGAAATATACCACTTTGAACTTAAAATTCTCTTTTCTTTTTTTAAAATTGATATATCAGAGTTGTACCTATTTTGGGGGTATATGTGACTCTTTTTATACATGTATATAATGTGTAATGATGAAGTCAGGGTAATTGGGATATCTATCACATCAAACATTAATCTTTTATGTGTTGGAAAAAATACAGTTTTTCTCTTCTAGTTATTTTGAAATATGCAATAAACTATTAACTATAATTTCCCTACTGCACTATCGAATATTAAAACTTTTTCCTTCTATCTAACCATATTTTTGTACCCATTAACCAACTTCTTTTCATCCTCCAAAACCGAAAATGCTTTACTCCCAAGCTATAATTCATATTTTAAAAGCAAAATAAAGACATTTTCAAGTATGTGGGATTCTAAGTCTATTACTGTCAGACACTATCTGAAAGAATCACTACAGGAGGTATTAAAGTATAATAAAAAAATGAATACAAGAGGAAGACCAAGCAAAGATGTAATGGTGAGCAAAGAAACAGTAAGATGTATGATAAAGTACCAATAAGTATGCATTGTAATTTTTTAAATTCCAGTAACAATTTAGAATTTAAATCACAGGTGCTATCAACAGGAGAAGTGTCAAAAAAAAAGAAGAAGAAATTAAAGTGTTCTAAGATTCTGGTCTTGTTCTCGGGAGAATATAACTCATAGCATGCTGAGAATACAAAGTAAGAAACATTCTTGACTCAATAAATGGAAGCTGCAAGAACTGCACAGCATAGTGACCACAGTTAATAGTAATGTATTGTATATTTCAAAACTGCTAAGAAGGTAGATTTTAAATGTTCTCACAAGAAAGAACTGATAAGTATGTGAGGTGATGGATATGTTAGTCTGATTTAATCATTCTACAATGTATACATGTATCATAACATTACATTGTGCCTCACAAATATATACAATTATTTGTCAAATAAAAATAAAATAACATTAAGAAAAAAGTCAAGAGCAACCATCATATTTACTGGGGAAAATTAGTTAGATATAACAATATACTGGACTTTTTCATTACATAGGCTTATAATTTTTTTTAAAAAAAAGAGTGGTATAACACTTAAAATGAAATGGACACATTTTAAGGAAGAAACTGATAGTTGCCTACTCAATAGTACTTTCTCCTTTTTCTTTTATAACAAACTTCAGATTTTCCCACAGACTCACATTAAAAAAGTTATTTCACATGTAATGTTAGCAAGGATGTAAGGAAATGGGTACTCCCCTGTTGAAGGGAATAAATTGGTATAACCTCTTTGAAGGGCTATTTTTTTCTGTCCTATTAAAATTTTAAATGTGCATACACATTGATCCAAAAATTTTTCTTATCCAAATCCACCCTGGAGATATATATGTATGCATGTAGACATATAAGAAGATGTTCACTGTGGCATTGTCATAGTGTAACTTGGAAACAAATGTCCATCAGAAAGAAAATGGTTTAACAAACTAAAGTTTCATACTTGTCACTCATTCACAAATATTTATTGAACACCAATTATGTGCCATTCACTGTTCTAAGGCCTTGGGGATGTATTAGCAAACAAATTCCGAAAATAAACCTTTCATTCTAGGGGAGGAAGACAGACAATGAAGAAATAAATCTATTACATGTCAGGTAGTGATAAATATAAAGAAAAATAAAACAAGTTAAGGGGAAACAGAGAGGGAGAATGAATGGGAGGATATAGGAATTGGAGAGGAACATCAAGGAACTTCTGATGAGGCTGTATTTGAGTAGAGACTTGAATAAAGTAAGGAAATGAGGCAAGAAAATATTGAGGACTGGAGCTTCTCAGTCAAGGAGACAGGTGGGTTTGTGTTCCACGTGTTCCAGAAACATCAAGACACAGCCAGTGTGAGCAGAAAGGAGTGGGTAAGGAGGAGGATGCAATGAGAGATGAGGTGGCCATACTCCATAGATGCCATCAAGTAAGAATTTGGGATTTTATTCTAAGTCTACTGGATAACATATAGCTATTAAAATTAATAATGTAAGTATATATGCCCTGATATAAAGAGCCTGCAGGA
This sequence comes from Homo sapiens, assembly GCF_000001405.40. Taxonomy (NCBI): domain Eukaryota; kingdom Metazoa; phylum Chordata; class Mammalia; order Primates; family Hominidae; genus Homo; species Homo sapiens. The sequence continues at coordinate 111,273,896 of NC_000005.10, read as the reverse complement.
CACACAGACTAACAAATTTGCAGAACAATACATAGCTGTTAACACCTTTTATATTAAAAAGACACACACACAAGACAAACATAAAATGTTCTATGTGTATACATATATATGTATGTGTGTGTATATATGTGTGTGTGTATGTGTGTGTGAGCGTGTGTGTGTGTATGTATGTGTGTGTATATATATATATATATATATATATATATATATATATATATAAATGCATTTTTTAAAGCTGACGGATAACATTTCAAAGAGGAAACATTAGTTCCTCTGGAAAAAACTCTGGGACAGAGAAAAGCAGTCAAGAGGAATTTTGGTAAATCTATACACTTTTAAATTTCTTTATTATGAGAATGAATACATGTATTATTAAATTAAAAATTAGACTAAAAAATAAAGATCATCTTTAACCATCCAGCAACTTTTGTATACATAAAAGACTGGGTATTGTTACTATACTCTCTTCCAGATGAACACTTTGGAATCTTACAATCTGCATATAAATTGTTCATGAGTATAATTACCCAAAAAGATTGCCTTTTTCTAGACAACTGTATCTGTCTTTGTGAATGTGTGTGTATGTGCTTATATATATTTATGCATTTATATAAAAATACATAGCAAATTTATGCATTTATATCTAAATATATAAATACTGTATCATAAATGTTTGTGGCTGGGCCATTAGCATGAGATGGTAACAAATATAGAAAGTAATTAATGAGAAATCATAACTAAAATCATCAGTGACTATTGGTGCAGAGATAACAGTTGTATAATTTTTGACACAATAATGTGTCCAACATGACAACAATTTCCAGACTTACAGAAAAGTGAATCAGTGAGGCATCCCTTTACAACAACTCCTGACTCAGGGAAGCACAGAAATAGATATGGCACTTGTGTACCTTCCTGGAAATGCAATATTTTAGAGGGATACTGATAATTAAGTTGAAGGCATAGTCCCCTAAATTATATCTGAGTGTATCAGAGTGGAAAATAATGTAAATAATCTGACGACTGGGTATCGATAGTCCTAGCAAATTCATTTTCTTATTGCTAAGTAGTTCATAAACACTCTGTATAGAGACAAGGATTATACAGAGAAGTGATGTACAAGACTGCAGAAATATTGGTGCTCCCTCCTTTCTATCAAAGCGTCTATTCTCAGAGGAATTTTTTAGTTCCTCTAAAATGGCATTCAGACATTTTGCAACTTTGTTGAAATACTTGAATAATTTTATTTACAATGCTTCCAAGTAATTATCTTAATTACAAAAAGTCAAATATGTAACATTACCTAATTTCTAATTCACAGACACTGCCATAGTACATGATATGAATATGTTAAATCCCGTTTAAGTTTTATGTGAATGTATGTAAGCTGTAGTTTCTCAAGATTATAGCTCCAAAATATATTGCTCAGCTCTAGGCTCAAATCTAGGTTCCTGCCACTTAAGAGTATAATGTCCTTGGGAAATCTGCACTTTATATATATATTAAAATGCTTAACACCATTATTGGCATGTATATGGTGGTTCTCCTTTCTGTAGCACAACAGAGATGGTAAAGAGAGACAATGGAAAAAAGAAAGCAACACTCATCCATAAAATACTTGTAAAAGACACAAAGAAAGATTTGGCTAGTGAACTCTTTGGCAGAATTAAACCCGAGAAATCATAAGTTGGAACAAAAATTTCCATAACACCTCTCTGACCTTCATGGCAAATTACTCATCTTTTAATTTTATTCAATAACCACACACACACACACAAACACACACACAAACACACACACACAGAGGGCTGTCTGTGGGCCAGACACCATGATTCATACCAGTAACAAAGGGAAAAAAGATATATTCCATGCTCTCTAAGGGTTGGTGGGTTGGGAGATACTCAGATAATACTTCTCAGAATATTTAAAAAGACTATTCAAGAATCGCGGGAGAGAAAAGTGTTGGAGGGAGACACCAATGACATCTGGATAATAGTGTCCATTTTGTTCTCTACCTTTGCTGAAGCTTTGAATACACAGTATATATGAACTTTTATGGCACACTTAGAGGACCAGTGTCCTGGAAAGAAAACTTAGGAACTAAACAAGAGCAGGAAGAATGGTGATTAAGACAAGGTAAAAAACCAAGCAAAGATGAAGTACAAGCCTATGAAAAATCTAAGATGTGGTCTTGCCAAATATTTGGTAATTCTATACTTTTCTATGAATTTACTTGCATAGTAATAATACTATGATCATTTTATTAACTTCTAAGAGATGCTCCCACCTAATGCTTGTTGCAGTCTCACATCCATCTGACTTCCAGCTCCTTGCTCCCATCTCCTCCCACTAGCCAATCCAATTGCAGCTATTTTTTTTGAGTAGTGACACAATATAGTAGAAGAATCATGGTGAAAATGTAGGTGTGCATTCAATTTTGCTTCAGCAACTACACATTAGCTAATATGCCTTGAAGCGCACCATGTTCCAGCCCTCCATCAAGTGATTTACTCTCACATGCCCTTGAATTCTTATGTAAGGTAGAGACTATTGTTATCCTTTATCTTAATGTTGAAGAAACCAGAACCCAGAGAGAGTTCATGAGCATGCCCAAGGTCTCACAGTTTAAAATGTCATAAATGGCTTATCCAAATTCTATGATCTTAAATATTACCAGATACGTGTTCCACTGACATACTCATTGATATGGTTTGGCTCTGTGTCCCCACCCAAATCTCATCTCGAATTGTAATCCCCATTATCCCCAAGTGTCAAGGGAGGGACCTGGTAGGAGGTGATTGGATCATGGAGGTGGTTTCCCCCATGCTGTTCTTGTGATAGTGAGTGAGTTCTCACGTGATCTGATGGTTTTATGAGTGTCTGACAGTTCCTCCTTCACACTCTCCCTTCCTGCCGCCTTGTGAAGAAGGTGCCAGTTTCCCCTTCTGCCATGATTGTAAGTTTCCGGAGGCTTCCCCAGCCATGTGAAACTGAGTCAATTAAACCTCCTTCCTTTATAAATTACTCCATCTTGGATATAACTTTATAGCAGTGTGAGAATGGTCTAATACACTCATTCGGCAAATATTAGATAATTACTACATGCTAGGTTCTAGTGCCTGGCACTCAGAAATACATGGTAAAGATATTGAACTAGACTGATCCAAATTGAAGTTTTGTCAGGCTGGTGACATGAAGAATAGAATTGGGGAATACTTTCAATAGAGTATGGAAGGTGTGGTTCATGGAATTTAAGAGGAGTGAGAAAGGAAGGGAATAGGGGTAAGCTGATAGGTAAGAAAAAAATTGAGGAGCCAAAGGCTGAAGAAGAAAGGTTGTTTTGACAGTAATCATGTCAGAAAGCTGAAAGGAGAGGTTGTGATCCAAGGTTGGGATGTCAGTGTTAATAGTATCAGGTGTGTAGCTATTGTGTAATTAGGTGAAAGTCACCAGGGACAAGGGAGTTGAAGGTTCCAGAGGCCAGGGGCATGGCAGCAACTAGAGGGAGAAAGAAAATGTGACCTAGGTGCTTAGTTGTTGAATGTGTGAGAGGGAGTGATGGTGAATTAAGAAATGGACAGGAAAAGGAAGAGTAGCAGATAGGATGGTGAAAGCCTTAATGAGGAGGGGTTTTACGTAACCTTTTAGAACAGAACTTATATCAACTAACTTTTATTTTTGTAACAGAGTTAACATGTTTTAAATATTGCCTAGATGTGTTTTCACTTCTCCTCAGAAAATCATGATTTCCAGCAGATATTCTGACAGTATAACACCATGGAAGCGGAGAGAGAAAGCTCTTTGGGATGAAGAAGGACATGACACAGGAAGCCCTTGTAGAACTGGAGGAGGAAATGAAACGCTGCCATATCTGGTCCTGGTGATTGCAGGAGTAGAGGAGAGACACAGGCAAGATCAAAAGGTCAGATGCATAGGTCCCTTACTTTCCCACTGTTGGGAGGAGCATGACATTATGAAAACATCCAATTGGATGTGGGGAGCTCTAAAAAACACGGGACAGACTGGTTAGTGGCACGCTTCCCTGTGTGTTGGCTGAGGAAGTGCTTTACATGCCCATGGACAGCCTTGTATGCCAAACAGCAGACCCACAAGTACAAGAAGGTGGCTCAATGGGTGAGCTGAGTTAGACCTTCTGGCTCCCTATGCTCTCTTTAGGGACTGCAGGGAGTCCACAGGTTTCTATATGTCCCAGGGACGAGAGAAGGTGCTAACAGGGCTGGATGTGAGATAAAATAAGCTGAGTATGCAGGCAAACTGCTGGGACCAGGGATGTCAGCCGTAAGTGCTTGCATGGTACCCAAACTGCAGGTCACGGCCTGCAGTTTAAAATCTATCTCAGCAGCCACTATTTCCAAAAACAGACCAGCCACTGCACAGCAAGGACCCAGGAAGGTCCAGATGATGTGGACTGGTTATGTGGCCACTATTTCTCCTGCTAAGAGTTCATGGAGGAAGGCCCTTTCCCCCACACAACCAGATGTCACTTGAAGAGGAACGGGAAAGGGAGACATATAAAAGACTGAATATTCATTTGGAAAAGACCAAGGTATCCAAAATAGGTTACTGAAGTTAGAAGATAATGTGATACCATAAATTGTCAAGTCAAAAAGGTTTGCCTTCTCAATTCTCTCCAATCAGACCCTTCACAAACCCCCACTACTCATTGCAGAAGATCAGCTCACATACAGAACAGTAGGTACCTCCATTTTCTTGGCAAATACGTACATGATGGGCATGTTTACAGTTTCCATGCACAAAACTATAAAAGCATTTCTTCCAAGTTATCATTATTGGTATCAAAATACTTTTAAACCAAATTTTCTATGCCTTGATTTCTTTTTATTCCTTCTAGTCATATATCCCTACATCACCAAAAAGTCTTCCCTGCTTTCATATTTATTTTTTGCTGCTTTTCATTATTTGTAGGTCACATCCTTTCTTAAATTGATATAATACAAGTTGTATGTATTTAGCTTCTATAATCTTTCCTTTTCAATAGATCTTTATGTTCCCTTAATCCCATTTTTCCTACAATACATATCATTTTTTAATATTTAATCCTTACCAGGTATAGAAGGAGATAGAAAGGAATACTAAGTTAGATGTCTCTTTAAAATAGAGTGGAAACAAATTATCTTTGACATGTCACATACCACACATCAGCCTTCTCAGCTATTATATTACATCATAAATATTTATAATATGATCCCCACTATCATTTTTCTCTCCATCTACTTAGTTTCCAGAGTTAGACTTGAGTTTAGCTTCCTCAAAACTTGCTGCACAAAAGTTCAAAAGACTTTCTATTTACTTTTTCCCATTAACTCCCTGCAAATGTTTAGATTTCCTTGTACAAAGTAGCAGTTTACACATATAACTAAGTGGGGATCATTCCTTGGCTGGAAATTCAAGGGGCTTGCCAAAATAAAAGCTCCAGTGTTTCCATTATTCCCATGAAAATTTGTTTCAGCTTCACTTTTCCTCCAAAGAGATGAACACTTACATGTGCTATTCCAAAATGAATGCATTAACCCCCATTTCTATCCCAATTCTCTCACAAACACACCTCAATTCTTATTTGAATAAGAATTATGATCATCTCAAAGTGGCTTTCAAGGGATTCACCATAAATGTATATTTTAGCAGGAAACAGAAAATCAGTACCATATTCACTGGAAGTAAATATATAAAAGGAGAATCGCTCATCCCCAATGGATCTAATGTGTCCATGGATCTACAGTAGTAAAAATAATGAGTAGTAGAGGGCCTACCTCAAGCTTCCACCAGGCAGCTCTTCACAGTGAATACACTGGGCCTAATGATGCCAATCTGCCTGTTGAGTGGAACTCCCAATAGGCTTCTCATGGAAAACACTGACAGCCTCAAGTATAGAGAAAGGCATAGTGAGAAAAAAATCACTTCAACTAATCAGTACCGTTTGCTACCCAGACAAATAAATAATACAGAGTTCTGTAACTTTCCAAATCAATTACACTATGCACACTATATGTTCATCAGCATTCTCACTAATATTTACTGAATCAAAAGCCGTGGTGATCATATTAGTGTTATTAATCTGAGCTATTGTGTTTGTAACGTGGGATATTCTAATTCTATCATCCCCTGTGTCCTTCAGAATGAAGATTCTTTTTTTTTTTTTTTTTTTTTTTTTGAGACGGAGTCTCGTTCTGTCGCCCAGGCGGGAGTGCTGTGGCACGATCTCCGCTCACTGCAAGCTCCGCCTTCCGGGTTCACGCCATTCTCCTGCCTCAGCCTCCCGAGTAGCTGGGACTACAGGCGCCCGCCACTGCGCCCCGCTAATTTTTTGTATTTTTAGTAGAGACGGGGTTTCACCGTGGTCTCGATCTCCTGACCTCGTGATCCGCCCGCCTCGGCCTCCCAAAGTGCTGGGATTACAGGCGTGAGCCACCGCGCCCGGCCCAGAATGAAAATTCTTAATGTAGAAGGAAAACACAGATGTAATACACAAGAAATGAAACAAAAACACATAGTTCTGAATTTAAATTACAAGTATTATTGTTAATATAATATATACATAATAGGAAAGCCTGGAAACAATGACAAATCCTGTCACAGTAAGCACCTCTAGGGCCCAAATTACGATCTTGAAATACCATTTCCAACTAAAAGAAATGAAGACTTTTTGGAGAAATGGCTTATTCCCTATTTAGGGCAGAAAATGTACAGACAACCTCAGAGTATCTTAAAATAGACAACAAGGAAGCTCTCAGAGACTACCAGAATCATATTAATAGGATTCAGGGACCAACCTGAAGAGGCTCCTACTGACCAAAGATGTGGAATGAAGGCAACAGCTGGAAAGTAGGCAGAATTAGAAGAGAAGAGGACCTAGACTCTGGAAAATGTTGATATTTACTGGCCAAGTAGAGACTATACCAGTAGAGAAGAAATCGACTGAGAGGCAAGGGAAAAGAAAACAGAGAGGCTGTTATAGCATAGAAACCAATGGAGAACAGTATCTCAAGGAGGGTGTGGTCATTGACATCAAATATTACTAAGAATTCAAATAAGGTAAGGACTGAAACACAACCAATAGATTTAGCACTTTGGCACCCCTAGCTAGAGCTATGGCATAGGGCCAATCAAAATATTTGAGTGAGATCTATAAACCATATGCCACAGGGCTTAGACATTTTATTTGTATGGCAAAACATCTCCAAAACGAGTATGAGTCAATCTGGGGTATGCATGTCTATACATGTGTTGGTGGGAACAGGTAGGAGTGAAAGAGTTTACAGAGAAAAATGGCCAACTATGTCAATCTATTGAGAAAGACTAATAAATAGCAGGACAGTAATTCATAATAAGGAGACCACTGGTGTCTAAACTCAAGTCTCGCTATTTCAACTGTGCCAGAAATGTGGGCATTTTGAGAATTCATAGATATCTTAAAAATGCTTTTAAATACCTGAGAATAGTAAAATACACCAAAAAGCAAAAAATCTATTCCCCAAAGTGTAGCTTATATAAAGAAAGAATTCATGAATGTGAAAGTGAAAAGGGCTGGGTTGAAGAGGGAAGCAACTGCAGTTCAGAATAAATATAATAAGGGAAATGTTCTCATGGGCAAACGTCTCTCTCTCTCTCTTTCTGTGTGTGTGTGTGTGTGTGTGTGTGTGTGTGTGTGTGTGTGTGTGTGTGAATATATTTATTTAGGAAACCTTCTATTCTACTTTTCAAACCCTTATTCTGTCCTATCTAGGCTGTCATCTCAGAAAAGATTGCTAATTGATTGATCTTCCTGTCTCCAGTTTGCCCTTACACCAATTCATCTACCAAAAGATGTCTAAATTTCTCTCTCTGAAGAAATGCTGTGCTAATGTTGGTCGCAGTAAAACTCCAATGGCTCCCACCACCTACCAAGGAAATTTCAAAGCCCTCCATGACATAGATCCTTTCCAAAACTTTATGCTGATGCTGCAGCTCAACTGGAAAACTCATTTCCTTCCCTTTCCCTTTCTTCTGTATCTCCACATGTCAAGGTCTTGGTGATTATTAAAGCCCAAGAAAAAGTAAATCTTTTAATGAAGCATTTCCTATTCATCTCACTTCTGTGTGACAGCTTCCTTCTCTGGATCCCTCTATTACTCATTCTGCCTCTTTTATAGAATTTTCAAAATACAGCCTTATTTCATGTTTACCAGAATAGAGTTTATCTCATCTACTAAATTTTGCATTCCTTGAAGATTGGGTAAATATCTTACTCTCATGTGCATACCTTATAATGAGCTATAAAAAGCCTTGAATCTGGTACCTGCTGGATAAAGCCTTAATAAAGTGAAAAATAATATATGTAAAATGAGAGAAGCTAAATTTTAGAGGTTCTTAGGGAGTATATATAGAGTACAGTTACAGAACCAAAGAATCCGACTACCCGCGAATATGCTAAAATATCAACTTATCTTGATACTTCAGACAAAAGTTAAATTTAAATCCTAAAAGATGGTTTAGTAGCCAGATGACCAGATAAAGATAATAGCCAGCCAGTAGGCTACATGAAGTATAAAACCACACCACATTCACGTTTGGTTCCCAAGACAATGTTGCATTTCACCTGGCAGATAGTAGGATATCAATAAATAATATTATTTAGTAAATTCATTAATTACTTCACTGAAATACTTATGAAGCATATCAGTGTTTCAGGGGGTGTTTTGGTGCTTGGGTTATAGCAGAGTATATAATAGGCAAGATCCTTGCCTTCATGGGGCTTACATTCTCATGACAATGGGCAAGCAAAACGAATGAACATGATACCTGTAGTTATAATTACCTGAAGTCATCAAAAAAACAAAACTGGAAGGTGGTGATAGAGGGTGTCTCGGAGGAAGGGGACTAACCGTATATTGGATAGTGTGGGGATCCTCATGGATGAGGGGACATTTGTACTGAAAGGTCAACGGCAAGAAAGCCAGTCATGGAAACTTACAGAGGGATCTGACACCATGTCAATCAGCAGATTGCTAGTATCAGCATCAAGCAAACAACATCAGACCTCAGGGAAACAGGGGAATTGCCATGTCCAAAGGGCCAAGACTGCAAAACACCACCTATGCTGCTTGAGTACCTGCCAAAAGAGATCCTGGTTCCATCCTTGGAACCTTGCCATGAAAGAAGAGGGCTCAATCTCTGCAGCCATTTCAACAGAGAAAATGACTCTTAAAGTATCACCAGTGACAAGAGAGGACAGCAAGCTGAAACGGATATCGGCAGTGAATTTTCCTCAGTACTGAATCACATCAATGACTTCAAACACCACATGGACAATAGATTTAGTGCAGTGAATAAGACTCTCAAAGCACTGACAAACGACACTGAATAAAGGCTTAGGGTATCTGATAGGAAATTGGAGAAACTTCAAACCAACATACCCTTCATGCATTCAAGAACCATGCAAGGAGTTCTTTACCTGCTGGGAAGTTTTATGCATCTATGCATCGTTGGGAAACTACTAGGTCCTCCACCAGTTGTTTATACATCAACCACCCAGGCAGCTGACATCACCATCGGCACACCAAACCCCTGGAGCGACTGGTAACCACTGCACATGGAACAGAGCCACTGCTGCACCAAGATAACTGCAAATCACACCAACAAAGCTGACAATCCCCAAGGCACCTGTGCAACACCTGCCACCATCTTGCAGCAGGACCACAGACAACAACACAACTCCACCCACAACTCCCACCAAACCAAGTCAACATCACACCAAACTACATTTAAAAAAGAGAGCCAGTCATTCAAAAATTGGGTAGCAAAACTGTCCACGGAGAGAGAACAATAAGGGCAAATGCCCTAGGAAAGTAGTAAGCTTGGCAGTTTCAAAAGACAGAAAGGACAATGTTCCTGGGAACTCATAAACCAGGGGAAGAATGGGAAGAGGTGAGGTGGCTTTTTTTTTCTATGAGAATGCTTTATTAGGCAAAACCACATACTATGAAAGTGCTTTAAAATGCAACAGGAGGAGACGTGAAGACACAAAGAAAAAGTACATAGTGACACGTGGCTATCAGAATACACTAAGTACAGAATCCACACTGCTTCCGCCCTTTACAGAGTCTAGAGCCTATTTTGGGGGTTTTGAGAGCCACAGTTAAGAGTTTGGAATTTATTCTGAGCATACTGGAAAGCTATGGGAGGGTTATACAGCTATCAATCAGAACAATTTGGACTGGTTTACATTTTTTAAAGTTTATATTAAAAATGGATTATAGCAGGATGTCCAATAAAGAGATTATTTCAATAGGCCATTTGAGATGTAGGGTGTTGAACTGGATTAGGGTAGAGATGAAATGGACATGGCAATGATGATAAGGTTTGGAAGAAGTAGACTGCTGTGGGAGTAATAACAGAAAAGAAATGGAGTTGTGAAGAAATCTGGAAATAAAAGTAGAGAAGTAAATAACAGTATTTCCCAAAGAGCTCAAATTATTTATTGTCCCTTAACAGCCTTCACTGGCCACTCAGTCAGAGCCCTGACCCAATTCCTATCTTTCCTTCATTTTCCTCATTCCATCCAACTTTACCATTAACAATAATTATGATGTATATAACATAAAAGTTCCAGTACTGCCTGAAGATCACCAGCTGTATTTATGAAATATATTTCACATAATAGGTATGGAAAACTGATGAAACACCTTTCCACAGAGTGAAAAAAGGAAAATCACCTGACATAGTCAAGATTTATCATTGAAAGTGTTCCCTTTAGAAAAATGGGGACATGAACTATGATCTCTTTTCGCTGTCTTACTACTTCCTTTCTCTTCAGCTATCTGCCCTCTGGCTTAGTATGATTCACTTATATTAGAAACAACTCAGCCAGGGGGTTAAATTATCACTTTATATGTTGCCAAAAGACTCACTCTAAGGGATACTTCTATGACAAAGAGAAAGCAATGATACAAACCAATCAAACCAAAGTATCTGTCTGTGTGATAAATACATTCACCTTTAATAAATAGTAAGTCAGAAGAAAGAAAAGTAGTAATTGCAAAGCATTTATTTTGAAGTGTATTTCCGTTTTTGTTCAAAAGGACAGAACCTGGGAGACAAATTGTTCACAATTTTAGCATATTATTACAATCTATGTATAAATTTCCTTAATAATAACAACTGCCCTATTGCATAACCGATTTCATTGTTATTGATGGAATATAAAAAGCCACATGAAAGCAAGTAAAGTGGGTCATTATTTACTTTTTAGTTTATATTTATGCATCTGGAAAAGATGGCCATAAAATCCCCCTCAGATTGATTCAACTTTAGACAGGCTTCTTCCTAAGGCCTCTGACCTCCTTTTTAAAATGTGTTTCCTTTAGAAAACTTTCCATTATAAATTCTTGCTCTGCTACTTTAAGACATAAATATTCTACAACCCAGGAATGTCTTTCTCAAGAACCTGGGAGCCATCCCTTTTGACATGTAATCAAGAAAGATAGTACCCTCTCAGCCTCTGTAGGAGAGTGGGAGCCTAACTTCAATAAGCACCAGTGGCCCAATCATGTTGATCAGCCCTCCACTAACATCCTCCCGCAATTTTCCACCAGCTCACCCCAGTGCTTAGAAACTCCTCCCCCTTTGGTTTAGTGGAGTTGAGTTCAATCCTTCTCCTCTATTGCAATTTTCTTGAATGTCTTTTTTTTTTTTTTTTGCCCGTTTAGCTAGTCTAGTGCAATTTTTCTTTTACACATCAAGTGCCAGAATGAGGACCTTAAACTGTGTCTCTACTGCCTGTGAAGGTATGTCAGCAGAGTGAGGGGCTCAGAAACCCATGTAAGGTGCTAGTGAACGAACACAAGGATGACTCTGCAGACCTAAGACCTCAAAAGTATTAAACTCTCAAAGATAAGGACTTCTCCTTAATATCCCAGGCTGTGTACCCCAAAGAAAAGAGAAGGCTTGCTGCACAAGTTTTGCCTCTGGACAATGGCTAAGCATGTAAAGAGGAAAAAAAAATACTTTTAAGAAGATCATAGTCCCCAGATTGGCACATATCCCAGCCCCAGAGAGCCTAAACTGGTTCACAAGGGGAGAGAAGCAGTAAGGAACAGTGAGTCATAGGCAGGGCCCCATACCTGAAGGGGTAAGAGGCAAATTCTGCTTGTAATCAATGCATAAGTCATTAGAGAATACAACAGAAGTAGGGATGGAGGGCATTCTCTCCAACTTTTGCATGATAAACGTGACACTAAAATTTTTAAAAAGATGGCTCTTTTCCAACTTTGGAAGCAGAAAAAGTCATTGTGGTGACCTGGAAAAAAAAAAAAAAACTATTAGGGTCAGAGAAGGAAACTATAAGGATATTGAGGTGAGGAAACTGAAGATAATTATTGCTATGGTTGTTTGTGATTACATGAGGCTATCCTCGAAACCTCAGAGATCCGGAAGGGAAATACCTAGAGGAAGGAGTAGAGCCCAGCTGCTATAGGGTGACAGCTATATTCCTAGACTGGTGCAGCTGGGTAATGTGTGCTACGCTTAGCAAACAATAACTAGTGCATATTATGCACCAGACATTGTGCTAAGTGTTAGAGCTACAAAGATGGAAGACGACAGAGGCTCTCAACATCCTAATGGGGTCCAATATTGTGGAAATAATGTAATGTTATCAATGGTAATAGGAGTATGGAAAGTACTGTGGAAAAAAGGCAATAACTGAGTTTGGGAATAATCAGGGAAATCTTCACTGTGTATGACATCCAAATTGTGTCTTTAAGGATAAAGTGGTTGGACAAGATATGAGAAAGGGCATTCTAGGAATAAAGACAATCTATTTTAGGATGGGGGCCTCAAAAATTAAGGTGACTGTTGGAATGGCAGCCTATTTACATATTTTGAAAGGTAGGGTGAGAGCAGATTGTAAACTGTCTTAAGAACTATGACTGAGACAACCAGATTTTAATTATAAAGGTAATTTTGAGGATAAAAGATAATCAATGAGGAGGATGAATGTTAAGGAGATGAAATTAGGGACCAGGACACATATTAGGTTATTCCAGAAATAATATAACTGAGAAAGGTTGACGGTTTCAATGAAGATAGCAGCAGTAGGGGTATAGATAAGGTGCAGGATCTGAGGAATCTTTAATGGTTAGGAAATAAGGGAGTAAACTGGAAGATAAGGAACGAACAAAACCTAATAAAAGATTGAGGCTACCTCCTTGAGAGACTGGAAGTGTAAGAAAAGACAGGAAGAGAGGCAGTGTTTCTGGAGGAGGATAAAATATTCAGATTCAAAAATCAGGCCTACAGCTCAGAAGAAAGCTAGGGACTGCAGATGCATATTTAAGACAAGAACACTGGGTTATAACTGAAAATATAGGAAGACAAGAGACAAGAGGCTGAGGGGAGAGCCTTGGAGAAAGCCCACACCTAGCCAGCAGGTGAAGAAAGAGAAACCAGTGAAGAAGGCAGAGGAGGATCAATGAGGTATGCAGGAGATTTTACCAGCGGACATGGTGTAGGTGGGGCCAAAGGAATGAATTTCAGAAGGTTTGTATAATGAAGACTATGAAATGCCAGAAAGATATTGACTAATGTAAGGACTGAAAATGTTTCTGTTGAATTTGGCCAATATTCAACAGTAAGGAGATCTTACTGTTAGCAGCTTTAGTGACCTGATGAGACAGAATCAAGATTGACCCAGACAGTCAAGACAATGAGAGATCAGGATGGGGGAACACAAGTGAACAGACATGACCTTCAGGAATGTGAATCATCAAGGGAACAAGAGAAACATTTATTTTGTCTTTCAAAATTCTTTTCGGCTATTATTTATGACATTAAAAGAATTTATAGAACTTACCAAAGAATTTATTGTACAAGTGTATTTAATCGATATGTTCTTAAGAAATGCTTTATAAATTACTTTCTGCTTGATTCTTCTAAAGCGTTCAGAAACACTCGATGTCACTTTTGATTGATCTTCAACTGGCATTTTTCCTAACACATATGTTTTATATTTTTCTGCTCCCAGAACCTGTCAGGTTGTTAATGATCTATAAAAATCCACTTTCACACCCTACAGGAATTCACTCTTAAATGAGTCACAGGAAATCATTTGTTAATATGAAGGGTCCTTTTGTAATACTTTTAATTAGTTTTATACAGGGGAACTTTTTGTAAGTCACATTTTCTTAATTCAAACCAGAACATGTAGGAGATACCACATATAAGTTTGGCATTTTTTCAAAGGACACCAATGACTTGGAGCAATAAATGTGGGGTCACCGTTATTGCCTGGATAAAAGAATTCAGGGTGCTGCATATATACCTACAACCCATCCTCCAAAGACAGTAAATTCCTGATCATTTCCAATGAGCTGTTGGAAACTTGCCCAAATCCTTTGCTTTCGTATTTTTTCCGTGAATATCATGAGTTCAGTGCAAATATCTTTCAGGGAACTTGGGTTAAAATCATTTCTTCTTCTCTATACTTCAAATCAAATTACACTGAGAAAACTATTGTTTTTTATCATTGCTACAACTTTTCTCTGACTGCTCTCAGTTTTATTGAAAATTCATTTTCCATTTATTTAGAGACTCTTAAGTTGTCAGTAGTTAAATATTAAATTCTATGGCAAAAGCCAAGGTATGGGAGTGAGAGATACAGAGATTAACATTAAATGTATTTACCCTCCAAGAAGCATATATTCTGTATGTTTAGGGAAGATAAAGAAAACAAACTCTGCCTCTTTTTATGGGTTCTTGCTCTATGACTATGTGTCCTTTTATTTCATTGGGAGAAGGGTGAGAGTAGAATTGGAAAAGGTACAAATAGCATAATCCCAAAATGAGTTACCACTTGACAAATTAGCATAAATCTCTTTCTTCCCTGGATTTGGGGCTGACAGTTTTACATAAATTTCATACCGTATGTTGAGATTTACTTCCTTAAGGGTTTTTCCTAGGTTCTCTTTGACATACATAGATTGAGTTGTTTACTTTTCTTAGCTAAATTAGAGACCCGTATCTTTTTGGATTTTTCTTAAGTGTTAAACAGAAAGTAAACAAGTTCATATAACACAAGACCAACAAGGCTAAGACTGCACACACACACACACACACACACACACACACACACACACACACGCTGATAACTCTGTAGAGGTAATGGTGATATGATTTGGCTGTGTCCCCACCCAAATCTCAACTTGAATTGTATCTCCCAGAATTCCCATGTGTTGTGGGAGGGACCTGGGCAGGGGGTTGGTAACTGAATCATGGGGGCTGGTCTTTCCTGTGCTATTCTCATGATAGTGAATCAGTCTCACGAGATCTGATGGGCTTATCAGGGATTTCTGCCTTTGCTTCTTCCTCATTTTTCTCTTGCCACTGCCAGGTAAGAAGGGCCTTTCACCTCCCACCATGATTCTGAGGCCTCCCCAGCCATGTGGAACTGTAAATCCAATTAAACTTCTTTTTTGTTCCCAGTTTTGGGTGTGTCTTTATCAGCAGTGTGAAAACAAACTAATACAAATAGGTATGTTAGTCAGCCTGAATGCGGTATTTTCTGAAGTATACATATATCAAAACATCAAGCTGTACATCTTAAATATATCTTATATAATTTTTACATCAATGATATCTCATTAAATCTGTTAAAAAAAGACATTCAGACTAGGTACTATTGGAATGTCCAATAAAGCCATGTCTATTTTTAAGTTCCAGGATTTTAAGTTCCATACACTGCAGAGTGTGTGGGTTTGTTACATAGGTAAACATGTACCATGGTGGTTTGCTGCACCTATCAGCTTATCACCTAGGTGTTAAGCCTGCATGCATTAACTATTTATCCTGATACTCTCCCTCCCCCGACACCCTCCCCGTGCTAGGCCCCAGTGTGTGTTGTTCCCCTGAGATGGTATCTCATTGTCCATGTGTTCTCAATGTTCAGCTCCCACATGAGTGAGAACGTGCAGTGTTTGGTTTTTCTGTTTCTGTGTTAGTTTGCTTAGGATAATGGCTTCCAGGTCCATCCATGTCCTGCGAAGGACATGATCTTGTTCCTTTTTATGGCTGCATAGTATTCCTTGGTATATATGTACCACATTTTCTTTAGCCAGTCTATCACTGATGGGCATCTGGGTTGATTCCATGTCTTTGCTACTGTGAATAGTGCTGCAATGAATATACGTGTGCATGTATCTTTCTAACAGAATGATTTATATTCCTTTGGGTATATATCCAGTAATGGGATTTCTGAGTCTAATGGTATTTCTGGTTGCAGGTCTTTGAGGAATTGCCACACTGTCTTCCACAATGGTTGAACCAATTTACATTCCCACCAACAGTGTAAAAGCATTCCTATTTCTCCACAGCCTCACCAGCATCTGTTGTTTCTTGACTTTTTAATAACTGTCATTCTGACTGGTGTGAGATGATATCTCAATGTGGTCTTGAACTGCATTTATCTAATGATCAGTGATATTGAGCTTTTTAAAATATGTTTGTCACCACTAAATGTCTTCTTTTCAGAAGTGTCTGTTCATGTCCTTCGCCCACTTTTTAATGGGGTTGTTTTTTTCTTGTAAATTTGTTTAAGTTCCTTGTACATTGTGGATATTAGACCTTTGTCAGGTGGATAGATGGTAAAAATTTTCTTCCATTCTGTAGGTTGTCTGTTCACTCTGATAACAGATTCTTTTGCTGTGTAGAAGATCTTTAGTTTAATTAGATCCCATTTGTCAATCTTTGCTTTTGTTGCAACTGCTTTTGATGTTTTTGTCATGAAATCTTTGCCCATGCCTATGTCCTGAATAGTATCACCTAGATTTTCTTCTAGGGTTTTTACAGTTTTGGGTTTTACATTTAAGTCTTTAATCCATCTTGAGTTAATTTTTGTATAAGGTGTAAAGAAAAGATCCAGTTTCAATTTTCTGCTTAAAAGCCATGTCTATTTTTTTAACGGATTTGTCTGAAGGACTGCTGGAATGTTGCTGGCATGACTCTTACTGTCCAAAGTGGTAAACTTTCAAAATACAGAAGACCAAAGATACTGTTGTGAGCAATGAATATCACTTTACAAGTGTGCCCATGGTAGTTAATACATTTTCAAAAATAATAAGCTGCTGCCAAGATTAGAAGCTATAAACAGCTTTAAAAAAAGACTTGGGCTGCCACATTATTCTGGTACTTATGTGTGAATACTATATGTCTTTTCTAGCTCTGAGAGTCAATTACTGCATTTATTACCGATATTGATTGGTAAGAAAAGGCTCATTTTTATTAGGGCTCTCTAAAACTATTGGCCCATTTCAAATAAAATATTTTGAAATAATTCTAGATTCACAAGAAGTCTCAAAACTAGTATAAAGAAGTCCTACATGCCCTTCACTCAGTTCCCCCAAAGGTTATATTTTACATAATCATAGTAATATTAAAACCAGGAAACTGACATTTGTGCAATGTGTGTGTGTAACTCTATGCCATTTTCTCACATGTTGATTAATCTGACCACCAACACAACCAAGATACAAAACTATTACATCCCCACAATAGTATCACTCATGTTCCTCTTTGTGATCACACCCAATTCCACCCCACCATAGCACCACCATACCTAATCCCTGGCAACGACTAATTTGTTCTCTACCTCTATAATTTGGTCATTTTGAAAGTGTTATATAAGCAGAATCACACCTTTTGAGATTGGCTTTTTTCACTAACATATGGCCCTTGAGTCCATCCAAGTTATTTCATGTACCAATCATTTTTTGCTTTTTATTACTGAGTAGCAGCCATGGTATGGATGTAAGACAGGATCATTTTTGTGAGATATCCAGTTGAATTCTGTGATCGATTAGTCTATATCAAAATACATACAGCTATATATATGTGTGTGTGTATGCATTCTAAATATAAGGAAACTGACCTTGGGGAAATGTTTTTAATCTTTACATCATTAGCCTTAAAAACAGTTAATTTCCAATAACACTATTGATTCAACCCATTACTCACATATCCAAAAATACACTGGGAGAAGTTGGCATTTTAAGCGGTATAAAACAGTGGTGAGCAGGAAATGGGCATTTAATTAGAACATCATCAGAGACTCCAAATAGCCATAAAATGATGATACAATGAATCCATAAATGCAAAGCTTCTGAGACTACAAAGACAAATAATGGAGGCTTTGCAAGAATGGTCTGGGGCTTCGGGTATGCAAACACACAATTCAGCTGCTGTTTCCATTCCCGAGACAGGCTCAGCTAAGGTTGTGACAAAATCATGACTCTAAAAGTCAGCAATAAAGATCTTAGGGAACTTTAGATCATGGCTTTTTTAAAGCTTCACTGAATTTACACAAACTCTGACCTAGCTGAAGTTGTCAGCAAAGATAAACAGTTCGGTAAACTCTACAAAGAAATGTACAGAAAAATCAGAAAATCAGCCTACTACACACAAAAATAAACTTGCTGGGCATGAATCCAAGAAAACCCACTCAGATTATCATAAAGATCACTGAAAACACTTTCTGTTTGTAAGGAGAAATATAATTGCTTGATACTTGGGAAGAGTTTTTCCATTCATAGCTCACCAAAGTGAGCAGATCCAATGGAAGTGATGATGGCACAGGATGGGCAGACCAAAGTTATTTATAAGGCTCAGGAACCAGGGCTTCATGGCCATCAACAGTAGTTCAGACAACATGCAACTACAAAATTAGACCTTCAAACAATGTCCATCAGAAATGTACTTCAATTACACCAGGGAATTTTGATACACAGCCCAGTTTAAACACCACATAAAACCATTCTTTTTTTTTTTTAAGTACTAAGTAAAAGTTGGACAAAGTATAGCTTTAGGAGTACTGGGATTTTGTTGGGTTCTTTTTTCATCAATGAGCTCACTGTGATGCTACTGCCATGAGGTGCTTCACATTTCCCCCCAGCATCTGATGTGGGCCTCATCACAGTATTTGCACAGACTACAGAAACAGCTCCTCCAAACCACAAAAGTCCCCAGGGAAATCCCGAGAACCTGACTGCAGTACCCTTTTTACCCAATGATCCACACATACTTGGCTAGTTTCATTTTTATCACCATCACTCACAGAAAGGCAGGTGCCTAATGATGTAGAGCGGTGTGCATGATGCATTGATGGGGGATTAGCAGAAACAACTCCTTCGCCTGGGGGAGCTGGCAATCAGGTGGAAATGTACATACTCAGGAGTAGATGGGATGTGCAGGAAGATTTCTGTGAATGCTGAGAGAAACTGACCCCTTGGTTCTTCAGTTTCCTTCTCAATATGTTAATTTCTTCACATTCTGCATGAACATCATCTCTGACACACTTTAAAACTTGTATTTTGATATTAATATTAGTTTCTGGCATTACAGAGTGTGAAGGCATTAAATGAGGTTAGCAGGTCTGTTCCCTGTGTTTTACAAGGGTGTCAACCCTCTCCACCTCCAGGAAGGGATTCTGTGCAGACATCTGGGATCATCTCACAGCGCACACTGCCATGGCCACGTGGCAGCAATCTCTGCCAGCCTCCCAGAGGGTCTTGTCCACAGTGACTTCCCTTTGGGTGTCAGTGCCCCCTACCCTAAATTCATTTCCTGTCAGTTTCTGTCTTTGTAACAAACTTATAGACATTAATGAAGCAGGAGCAGAGCTGGTTATACCCTAGAAGGCAGAACAAAGGCCCTTGCCCTCAAGTTCCAAAACAGACCTTTTAAGAGTAAAATTTGAGTCACTTCCACATCCATGTGCGGGAATAATCAAGACAATGATAATTTATTCTGAGCTTCTATTTTTCATAAACCAGATTCAATATTCAGATCTTAAACTATGGTAGTTTTACCAGAGTTTTATTTCTGCACACAAAAAGATTTCTGAAATGCTTTTTCCAGGTGAAAAGAAAATGCTTATATATAACATTACAGATAATTTATAATTTAAATAATTGAAATTTATTTGGGAATGGTTTAAATAGTGAGTTGACTTGTCATTATGTAACCAAATGAAGCTGATAATGACAGTCTTATCTCAGATGAAGAAATATCCATGTGCATATATGAATATCAAATTAGAAAATTAAAATGGAAATTTTTGTCTCACTTACTATTGAAAAATGAAAGAAAAGCCTGTATATAATATACTCAATAACCTCTCAGTAGCTAATCTTTTCTGTTTTTCACAAAATGGAATAAAGTCAACATCATAAAATTGTAGCTAAGCATTTTAGCAAATGCACCATGTACATTTGTTCATTTCTGTTCTCTTCAAAAAATTGTCTTTCATTTTTCTCAACATGGAAGCTGTCAGCTATTTTGATATGGCATGGTGCTTCTCTTTCTGCTTCTTTTTAAATGAAAAGTAAGAAACAGAACATAAAACAGTATTGGAGTTCCCCAGGTGACATGACTGAGAAAACCAAATGCTGACCATCTGTTGCAGCAGAACAGCCCAACCCTGTCCGGAACTGGAAATGTCTCTCCTCCCAGGTTCCGGGGCAAGCAGGGCAGCCGGCACCTGCTGCTGGCTTGAGAGGTCTGCCTAGAAAAGCACCATCAGCACACAGCTCTGAGTCTTCTCCATGGGCAGCTGCCAGAACCCGAAGGTCCTTTTAGAGGAAGATGAAAGGCAAAAATGATGGGACAGGAAAGGTGCACTAAATTACCATCCATGCAGACATTTGTCAAATTAACCCACCTCCACATCAAAAACTAAGCCATTACCAATGAGAACATAAATGTGTGTATGTACATGTGTCTGTGTTGCTCCAGTTATTTAATCAGCGGAAGCCAAGTAACCTACAAGAAACAAGTTCTCTGTAGATAAGAAAGCAAGTTTGACAAAAATAAGAAAGCAAAGACAAATGCAAACATGACTGACAGCCTGAGCCCTCTATCTCTTTCTGCATTGTCCATGCACAGCTGTCATCAATAGAAGTAGCATCACTTGCTATTGCTAAGTATTTGTCAGATTGGTGAAAATCTGTAGACTACTAGAATTATTTTTCTAGTCTATACAATGCTGTTTTCACCCCTACCAAAAACTGTCATTAATTACAGACACATTCCTTATCTAGCCCTTATTTTGAAAATCTGTAGGATCACGGATAAAATAATTTCTCCAGGAAAAATGTAGTGAGTCACAAATAATAGAGTCAAAGTTTTTCTTACAAGTTCTTTTGGTTAACATTACATTATGATTAACTTGTTTTGTAGTATTATTATTACTATGTTAGTTACCAGCTTACTGCTAAGAATATCATTGTAGAGTTCTTAAACTGAGTATTACGTGTAAGTCCTTTTGGGACCTATAAGACTCATAGGATATTTTTTACACTAACTCTACCAGCAACCACAAGTTCCCCAAAAGTATGTTTAAATTTAAAGGTGGTTAGGAGAAAGGATCTATAGAAAATATGTAAGAAAATGCTGGTCATATCATAAAAGCCCAAGGAAGAATGCAGTTTTCTTTGTGTTCCTCCACACTTCTCCATACTAAACAAAAATGTATAAGAAGGTACTCACCCCATGGTTTATGGTTATGCCATCCTATTTACAGCAAGAGCCCTGTATCTCTAGGCACGGATGATACTACAGCAGCCAACAATCAGAGTCCCCACTCAAGTCAGCTGAAGAAGCCAAGACAAGTGACTCTGACGAGGTTTAAAATACTTCTCCAACTAGATCCATTCTTGGAAAGTGTATGACGACAGACTTAGGGGTAATTCCCAGAGCTGCCATGAATACGACAGTGTCTTGGCACCCTGTAACTATGACTATGCCTTGGCATCCCATAACTCTGCCCTAGCCCAGATGCTTTCTGTTATGCTAACACGACTCCAGAAGTAACACAAGCATAAAGAAAATGTACAGAGACGCACAAGTGTGGACTCATAATTATTTTCTGCCTTCTTCCACCAAATCTATCTGAGTTCATTAGTAGCAATAAGATATAAACACTGGTTAAAAAAAAAAGTCAGTGAACCCCAAACACAATACCACAAAGTCACATACACATAACATTACGTGAGATGGAAAAACATGGATTTCCTCAATGTACCTTGTGTACCAGGAAACCTTCATTAGTGAATACATATTGAACTTTCCCTGCCATCACAGCTCTGTATCACATTCTCATGTATTTCAATTTAATATTTAGAAGCCTTTAAAGGGAGGGAAAGACTAAGGAGAAAGAAAAAAATAAGAAGCAAAGGAAAAGCATAGACATAAGAAGACTCACAGAAAGGCCTTCTCAAATTAAATCCATATAGCTGTATTTGTTTTTTATTTGAGAAAGAACTTAATGAAGATAAGGCTGTAACTGGCCCAGCTCTGCCTTCCTTCCAGCTTTGTGATGCAGTGAACATGGTAAACACACTGGACATGTCTTGTTAGGAAGTTCTCTTCTCTGACTGTCTTGGAGTTTTTTTAGGTTCTGACTACCAATACACTTGTATATTTCTAAGACCAACCTGGACACCCATATAGACAAGGCCTCTGCTGGCTTACATGATCCTCAGAGAAAGAATTCAAAAAGAAATCTCTTCCTCTGAAATGAAGTGTCTTAGTCAATGAAGAATGAAGTGGATATCATTCTTTTGGTCAAAAGCCCTTGTGTAGAGCACAACAGACTGTGGAGGAGTAAAATGTAACCAGACTACTTACAACCCAAGAGCCTTTCCACTAGTCACAGAACAATCACTTCATGAAAGTGCAATACCTTACAGGAGTGGATAACACAAAATACAGCTACGCAACTCTAACAGATACAGCAATGTCTCCCACTTTTGAAGCCAGTTTTATTTAAGCATAGCAAGCCATAGCAAAGAATGTCCAAGGATTTACAAAGCCAAGGCAGCTGTTGGGCTGGAAAGTCACATTCATGGAGAGGCTAAGAAGTACTACATAAATAATGGCTGGGTGCAGTGGCTCGTCCCTGTAATCCCAATGCTTTGGGAGGCTGAGGTGGGAGGCTGAGATAAGAGGGTGGCTTGAGGCCAGGAGTTCAAGACCACCCTGGCAACACAGGGAGATTCCATCTCTACATAAACTTTTTTAAAATATGAGAAAACTGAAGGGTAGGGGCTCAGAATTGGATGTTGCCTCGCAGGAAATGTAGAGGATAAATGGATGTCAGAAAAGATCATAGTGGTGATGGAGAATGGAAAACTGAGAGAGGAAGAAGAAAGATGGTAAAACAGGATCTAGGTAAGAATAGAAAAGACAAAGAATAAAGCAGATATGAGAAAGAAAAATGGATACTACAGGGATGAAGACATTCTAAGAAGGAGAAACAGTATACTGGGAAGTGGAGTTGTACCTTTAGTATGTCAGCATTCTTCTAGAAATACAAAGTCCACATATAATGAGCCCATAGGCATTGAAAATGGGTAGCAAAATACATGTTACCAGCTAGCCTCAAAGTCCCCAATTTGGGTCCTCTGATATTTTGAGCCCATTATCAGAAACAAAGCTGATTTTTAAGAAGAGTCAGTAGAGAATATCTTCCTTCTTTAAAGAAGTACACCATGCCTTCAATCAGGTAAGAGAAAGCAACATGATTCTCTCCCTAAGCTCTCTGTAGCTGCCTGATGGTGTATTCATGTACTCTGTCTGAAATGTAAAAGCACTATGCATTACCTCTGTCAAGTTCTGAACACCAAATTTGTGTGCATGGCCAATTTGCTCATAATTTAGTTTCATTTTATCTTAGATATTTTGTCTAGGACATAGTAAATTTGACAGAAAATTCACTTCAGAAGAGACCATAAGACAGAGTATAAGCTTTGGAGTCAGACAGATAATCAGGTAGTCCTGGGGTAGGGCACTTCCTGCCTGTATGAAATGGCCAGGTTACTGTTCTCCCCAGGCCTCTGTTTCCTAAGGTTAATAATACCTATCTAGCAGGTTATTGTGAGAATTGAGGGCAGTAAAAATAATGTGCCCAGCTCATAGTACACACCTGTTAAATATCAGCTGCTCCTCCTGTATGCAATTTTGTGTACTCAGTGGAAAAATATGTTAAATATGTTTTTATGTTTTATATAAATTATATAAAAGCATATTGAGAAAGCAATCAACAATGAATATATTCTTAAACTAATAAAACATTAACCTATAGCCCTAAAATAAAATGTATGGGAGATAATTAGGTGAAAGCAAATACACACACACACACACACACACACACACACACACACACATATATATACACACACACACACATATATATATATATATACACACAAATATAAAAGAACCAAGAATAAAATGAATAGTAACCATTTCTGGGTAATGGGATTGAAAGTCATTTTCATAGTCAGCCTTTTGTTTATCTAACATTTTCAAAACTTCTATACTCAAAAATAATTTATTATAATTATTTAGATTTACATGTATAAATGTATATTTATTTAAAATACATATAATTATATTCAAATACTATATTATACATACAATATATAACATCTAGAACATTTAGATTATATTTTTTAACATTTTCAGTTTCAGTTATATTTTATAATCTTTTTCAGTTTTCAGGCCATTGTCTCAAGTAGAACAGATAATTTCCAGATCATCTATGTTCTTGGAAGGAAGGAAACTTTCAAGTTTTACAGGGCTGGGTTTTACCCAATTATTTGATGAAGAGAAGGCTTTAAATCCTCTCTTTCTTGAACAATGAGGAAAGGAATAGGAAACTAATATGCCCACTTTTTCATGCTTGCACACACAAACTGGTTTTTAAATAATCTGGTTGAATTCAATCAAAATGGTTATTTTAAAACAATAATCGCTTCAGATTGAGCCAGTGCTTTTCTAATTAAACTGAACTTCAAATTTTGATTTGTTTTTTCAAACACATTAAAAACATCCATGCAAACAGATTAAGGTGACCCCCCCACACACCGCCCCCGCAATAGGAAGTAGCTCAGAGGATTTAACAGAGATCCAGGATACAGTTCAGGGACCTATGGGTGACAATCAGATCTGTCTTTCATGCTCCACGCCTTTCCTGGCTAATGGATCTAACCACAACATGATTTGATTACTGGTCATAGTCTCTGGAGAGGACTCTAAATCACATCTAGACTCTAGACCATATGACATTACTGATATATTACAGAAGAGCAAACCTCATCTCTGTTTGATCTGATAATATATCATCACAATAAGAAGGGATTTAAGTGGTGTCCAGAGGAAATATTTAATCTCCTCTAAGAATCAGGCACAACATATACCAAGCAGCACTGAGACTAAAGCAATGTGCTAGATACTGTGAGAAAACAGTAAAACAAAACAAATAAAACCAGATTCGCTTTCAGGACCTTCACTTGTCCTGTTTTTTTTTTTCATGACTTGTTTTCTCTGGATTTAAATAATTTCTTAAGTGACACAAAATTATAGCCTGTCACATTAAAAAGTAAGTGCTAAGATGAGGCTTATCATGCCCAGGACATAGAACCTGCTCGATCTTACTGGCTGGTTCCCCACAGTAAGAAAATCTCCAAAGACCAGCAAACATTTAAAAGCTATTACAATTTAATTTCTGCCAAGAGAAAGTGATAGCTCTGAACAAATATTAAAATCATTAACCCAAGAGTTAATAACCATTTAGTTATTTAAAAATATCTCTCAGTCAACATTTATTAAATTTCCACTTTGTGAAGAAGACAGAAGATATGATTCCAAAGGAGCTTACAGTTTAACAGAACAGAAACAGACATAAATACATTTAAGAACACAAACAACAGAAACATACAAACAAGTAAAATAGAACCGAATTATAGTAAAGCCCCTCCAAAATGTATTCTGTAAAACACTAGTCCAGTGAGATAATCTGCAGGGGAACAAAAAGTCCTTGATCAAATAAGTATGAGAAACAGTTAAAAACCACAATGCCCCTGAGCACATTAAAGACTGGAAAATTCTAGAGCAATCCTTAATCTACCATTTCTCAAATTTAACCTCGCAGTACTTCTTTGGCCTTATAATTATTAACATCTGTGATAGTTTTATGTGTAAATTTTTCTAAACTATAGTAGCACATTATTCAATTAAAACACTAGTCTTGATATTGCTATGAAGTTATTTTATAAATACAGTTAACGGCTACAATTAGACAACACTAAAGTAGATTATCCTCCATTATCTGGGGTGGCCTCATCCAACCAGTTGAAAGTCCTTAGGAGCAAAACTGAGGTTTACCTGAAGAAAGGGAAATTCTACCTCAAAGCTATAGTATTAGTTCCCGCTCCAGACTTTCGATTGTACTGGCCTATCCTGCAGATTTCTGACTTGCTAGCCTTCCCAATTCCTTGAAAAAAATAAATATATTCATTTATTTATAAATAAAATAATATTTATAAGGTTATATTTATAATCAATTTACAAATTTAAAACCATTCTTAAATTTTATGAAATTTATAAATTTATGTATCTATAAGTATAAATATACATAAATTTATATATAAATATAAAATAAGTTCCATTTATAAGTTTATTAAAAATATTATTTACAAATTTCTTTATAAATTTATATAGCTATAAATATAAAATATAAAAATAATTTATATTTAATATAAATAGAAAATATTTATAAATAAAAATAAATGAATCAATGTGTGTGTATGTAATTTGCTAGGCTATATCCTACTATTTTTACATATGTACACATACACTACATACATACATACATATACTATACATATCAGTAGTAGCTGATATTTAACAGGTGTGTACTATGAGCTGGGCATAATATATATATGTATTTTATTGGTTCTGTTTTTCTCTACTAAACTCTGATTGATAAAACATCCCGAGGAACTAATGTTTTCCATAACCTTCTTCAGGAAACACAATAAATTCCCATCTTCTACAGCAATAAAATCCTATCTTCTGCAGCACATCATAACTATAATGAGATACCAGGAGCTGTATGCTGGAACCCCACTTAATTTAAGGGATATAGTAAACATTATTGGTTGCTGCTCAGCATGTTTTCTAACAGCATGCACACACACTCACAAAAGTTGGGGTTGCCAAAGTCCTAAAAGTAGACCCTGAATGACATAAACCAACAATTGTAACCTCATCCCTGCTGTCTCTGGTTTGTTTAGGTGTGGTGGTAATCTGGGCCTAGGTCAATTAGTGTACAGACATCCCCCTGGCCAGGATGGTGGATTCTGCTTCATTAAACAATAGGAGGATGTAAAGATCCTTACTGTCCTGGATGATGATGGTTGGCTGCCAGTAGGAGGACTTAAATGCTGCATTTTGCTACCATGAGGGAAGCTGGTATGAAAACAAAACCAACACACCTGGGAGAGCAAAGCTAAAATAAATGCAGAGAAATAAATCTGTACCAAGTCGAACTGCATGTAAAACCTGAAAAAGTTCTGGACTTTAGTGACTTGAGCCAATAAATCTATTCCATTGGTTAAGATGATCTCAGCTAGGTTTCTTTTGGTGCTTCAGTATTTACTTATTAAATTACATTTGTACATTAAAGCATCCTAACTGATAAAAGGGAACATAGAAGCAGTAAAAACTGGGAATATAAGAATACAGAAAGCCCTTCTTGGGGGTAGACAGACTGGGCAGGGCAGTGGCGAAAGAAAAAGTGTGTTAAATGAATAGGTGAGCACAAGCTTTGTGCTTTCCAGCTATTCTGAGAATATGTACAAATACATTTATGTGAACAAACCTCAAACATCAGTGCTCCTTAAACATCTCGAGAATTCGATGAAAGCTGTGGTGACTTGCTTCAGAAAAACACGTCCACACATAAAATATAGCTTTCAATTTCAGAAGCTTCATATAGTCCCAAAACCTAGTCACAGGAAGATCTATGGATTAAAGTTAGAAATCCCTGCTCTATATGGTGGCTGGCAGAAAAATAATGTTAACATCAATGCTTTCTATAAATGGTTATAGAAGAATAAAAATAGAAACATGCTTTGGCTGAACACAAGTTATACAAACTGCAGTCATTTGTGAGAACCATTTACTCCTGTGGCTGATAGGTTTGTTCACATGATTATGACGTACACACCCAACAGTTTTGTGTTAAGTTTTGTTTATATCAGAAAATTTGTCCATGAATGCGCAGCATTTTATGGCACACACAGCAGTCATCTTACCACTTTCAAAAAGTTAAGGCAATCTGTATTATCAACAAATTTACACACAGTTAACAGGTTTAAAATATTAGATCAGGGAATCAGTTGGAGAAGTCAAGTGAAACTCATTTGCTGCTATTTAATGGAATTATGAGAATAAAAAACCAAATTGAAGGGGTCAAAGTAGAGCTGTTTGAGAGAAATATGAACATGGTAGTTGTAACTCATGTCAGAGAAAGTAGACCAAGAAAGGAAGAAAAGATATGGCAGAAAATGTATTAGTATCCACATTTTTCAGTGCAAGCTTAGATATAGGCATGTGAATAAAAGACAACACTTGCAATTTTCCCTTTTACCAATAATAAAAATTTCTGCTATTATTATCAACAATAAATTAAAATAATTTTTCTTATCAGTTAAAGAAACTTAAAGCTTTACTTGACAGCCTATCACCATAGTCAGTGAAATTACTGACTGGGGTAAAGAAGAAAAGAGAAGAATATGTATTTAATGCAAATTGGGTGCTGGCAGTATTAATTGAAATTAAGAATAAATATCAAAGATATTTCTCTTGTAAATAACTTATGGAATCAATATGTCCCCAACTGTAAAAAAGTAAAAAGTAAGCTTAGTCCTGTAACATGTGCAAGCCCCATAAAAGTACTACCTCCATGTGAGTTTTGCTAAATATTCTAGTAATATATTCATCAATCCATCAATATATTCATCATATTCATTTCTGCTAAATATTCTAGCAATATATTCATCAATCCATCTGCTCAAACGTTCACTTTTCCTGGAGTTAGAAAGAGTCAGAAAGTTAGAAACAAAAAAGGATTTATTTTATGTTATGTTATATTATTTATTTATTTATTTTATTTTTAATTTTTTGAGACAGAATCTCGCTCTGTCACCCAGGCTGGAATGCAGTGGTGCGATCTCGGCTAACTGCAGCCTCCACTTCCCGGGTTCAAGCAATTCTCTTGCCTCAGCCCCCCAAGTAGCTGGGACTACAGGCACGCACCACCATGCCCGGCTAATTTTTGTATTTTTAATAGAGATGGGGTTTCGCCATGTTGGCCAAGATAGTCTTGATCTCCTGACCTCGACATCCGCCTGCCTCAGCCTCCCAAAGTGCTGAGATTACAGGCGTGTGCCACTGCGCCCAGACTATTTTATGTTATATTTTAATATAGGTCAGCTTTTAAAAGTGAGTGGGACACTAGCATATTTAACTAGTATCTTCAAAGAGGTATGACAAAGAATATCTCAGCCCCAAATCACTCATAGACCAGAAGACAATGCAAACCAACATCAAGGCTAGAATTCTTAACTGTGATTCCAATACATTTGAGGACAAAGATTTTTTACAAGGTGAACACTCTCCAAAATGGGAATGAAGACAAGTATAAAATATTCTGCAATGTTTAATAATTTTTGATGCATTTCAATTTTTAAGACATATCCTCTGCAAAAAAAAATAGTAAGCAAAACATACAAGGTAGAAAATAGTGCATATTTTTAAATCTAAATCTGTAATAGTTTCTTGGAGATACAGAATTTTGTATTCTGAAATAATTCAGGAAAGCTGTAGGAGGAATAGCTGGGAATGGTTTAAGCCCAGCTTTCTGTAAATGGCACTTGTGAAGAAAGGAAGTACGTCAGAGACAAAAGTGCAGAAGACCAAGGTTCTGGTTCCATTTCTACTACTAACTAGTTTTGAAGGGCTGGAAAAGACAGGTGACTTCTCTGTGCTCCGGTTTCTTCATCTGTATTAAAAAAACAAAAACAAACAAACAAAACACTGGACTGGTTGAATTTTAAAGTTCTATCCAGCTCTAAGTTCCTGAAAAAATCTAAGTCAGAATCTTAAGAATGGTGAAGATGAATGCATGTTGCATTCGTGCAGCTATAGGCACAAGATACAGTCACAATATCTTCAGTATTTTTTACATTACGAGGCTTGACATTCCCCAGCAGTGCCCCTTTGTAAACACAGGAAAGAACCGCCGGCTAGGAGACTCCCAGAGATACTTGCCTGAATCCTTCCTCATCCTCTCAATAGGCTTCAGAAGGTGCAAAAACAAACAGACAAAAAACAAGAAGATATTGGCAGAGAGGGAAATTGGAGCCTTTCCCATGATAGGGCTAGTAAAATTTCCAGTTAGGTTAACTCAGTCATGATAGAACCTATAACTGGCAGGCAGTAAACATTTTTTTAGTCTACCCTGTGTGACAAAGATTCTTTGCTTGACAAAACTTTAGTCAGGCTCCTGAGCCTTCTGCTACGCCCATCTGTGTGCTTCCTTGTACAATACAGTTTTCATAAGAACCTTGCTAAGTCAATCTGGCAATAACCCACTACTCTCAATGTCTGATTACACTCAGAGTCTGATCAAGTTCCTCATCCTTCACTCTTCCCCAGGTGATGCCTGATCACCCTGGCTATCTTCAGGAAGAACCACAGGTTCCCCATATCACCGATGTTTCCTCTTAGTAATTTTCCATCCACTGTCCTTGCCCCTTGGCTATAAAATCCCACTTGCCCTTGCTGTCTTTGGAGTTAAGCCCAATCTTTCTCTTCCCCACTGCAGGACCCCATTGCAGTGGTCCCTATTCAATGGTCCTGAGTGAAATCTGCCTTACTGTGCTTTACTACAAGTCATTGAATAATGTTTTAAACATCTGCCCGGAACTGTGGAGGTACATGGGAACTAAAAAGTCTTAGAGGAGCTCCCAATCCAGGTGTAGAGGCAGACAGGACCTCGCCACAGTGCACTAAAAAGTAGAGGCAGAGAGAGCATCAGGCTGCCTGCATCTGAGCCAAGCAGGGCTTCCCGAGATGACACCTGCACTATCCTGAATCAGAAAAGGTGTTTACAAAATATGGAAGAGGGGTGTAGAAAGAGGGGGCGTGGAGTGAGGGGGCGCGGTTTGGGAAGGTGCACCATGGAGGTGCTGCACAAGAACACAGGACAGCATGACACATCCTGGGTGAGGAAAAATAGCTGTAGGGCTGGAGCCCAGGTGAGAACGCAGGAGTGGTGGGCGTAAGACGGCAAGCGCAACGGCTGTTCTGAAAAGACCTGCTGTTCATGCAAAGGACTTTCACATCCTGGATGGGATGGAAGATGTTAAAGGATTTTAGGCAGGGGAGTGACATTATCAAACTTGGCCTTAGAAAGGTCATCTTACAAGCAGATGGGATGCAATAAGATTAGAGACAAGATTTAAATACCAGTGCAATAACCTAGGAAAGAGTTCCAAATGATGTAAATGAAAAAGATCAGTGGCCACACAGAGGAGGGAACGGATTTAAAGTATATTTAAGAGATATAAATCATACCTATTAACCTTTATTGAATGTGTGAAATATACTAGGTACGATGCCAAGGAACTTTATGATACACTGTTTCATTTAATCTTCATAATAACCTTATGAGATTATTATTATACCCCTTCAAAGACTCAGAAAGGATAAGTGACTTGCCCAGGGTTATACATGTATTAAGTGGGAGAATATGTCTTATTAGGGGAAGGGGTGAAGGAGAAATCCAGAATACCGCTGGATTTCTAGGTAAGGAGCAAAGCAAATGGGGGTAACATGTACTGAGGTGGGCTACACAAGCAGGACACCAGGTTTTCTTGTGGCTGTTGTTTGGGGGTGAGTGGAAGATGGAGTTAGTTTCGAATAGCCTGTGTCAAAGTTGCCTGCGTGGTCTTCCAGTGGGAAGTTCCAACAGTCCATCTTAAATAAGGGCTGTTCCTGCCATGAATTATTCACCAACAAGACATACACAGAAATCAGTTATTGCCTAGAGCTGATCTACCTCTGTCAAGATGAAACAGACCTGACTTCAGGCCCTCCCTTTGAGCCCTCAGCTCCAATGTGCTCCGCTCTGTAACAGCAAGATTCCAGGGACAGCTTCTCCTATTAGATTCAAAGCTTCTCA
Source organism: Homo sapiens (assembly GCF_000001405.40). Taxonomy (NCBI): domain Eukaryota; kingdom Metazoa; phylum Chordata; class Mammalia; order Primates; family Hominidae; genus Homo; species Homo sapiens. The sequence goes on along the minus strand of NC_000005.10, from coordinate 111,241,798 downwards.
CTGGTTAGTACATTCCCAATTGCATGATTTACTGGCAGTAGTATATTTTCACAAGATTTTTCAAAAATGACTTAAGACATTCAATCATTATTTTATATATATAAGAATTTATCAGTTATAAAATAATACCTCAGAAATATTCCTTACAGAACGATAAGCAATTTATGTAGATATTCTCCACTCTGGGCAGTGAAGTTTAACCCCTTTTTCCCCAAGGGTGAGCTAGACTTAGTCACCAAGTTCCAAAGACTAGATAGAGTAAGAAAAGAGGTAAATAGTAACTGTACAGTGGAGAAACCTGGAAAGTGACAGAGGTTGACATCCATAGAGATGTCACATGACATCGTGCAACATCTGATACGATGTCACAAGGAGGGCACTTCATTTTTGTGGTATTCTTCCCCAGTTAATCATGAGAAATGACAGACAAATCCAGACTGGGGGCATAGGGGCTGGGGGTGGGTATTCCACAGGATACTTGTCCAGTATTGCTCAAGACTTTCAAGGTAATGAAAAACAGGCAAAGACTAAGAAACTGAGCAAGGAAGACATGGTAATTAAATGCAATATATTTGCCTAGACTGGACCCTAGAAGAGAAAGAGGACATCAGTAGAAAAGCTGGTGAAATTCAAATAAAATCTGCAGTTTAGTTAATAGTAAAAAAAAAAAAAAGTCATAATTATTATTATTCAAATAAAAATTTGCAGTGTGTGCATAGCTTTTACACTTAACTACAGTCAAAGAATTTACCTTTTTTAATCTTTGCAATAATCCTGTGAAAAAAGGCACTAGTATTTTCATTCTACAGAGGAGAAAATGGGGCTTGTTACAATTTAAAAGATTCATTAACAATAAACAGCTACTAGGTACCAGAGTTGGAATGTATCTTTGTACCACCATCGTTGCCACTGGGGGTTCTATTAATATCTACTAAAGTCATAGGGTTATTTAATGTGGGCTGCAGCCCTGCTTTTGACTCTTAGCATTGCCCTATAGCCAAAACATTTCTGAAATCTCAGAATCAGAGAACAACTTGAAAGGCTGTGATATCCAATCATTTGTAATCCCTCCTCCTTTACCGAGAGGCCTTCCAGAATGAATGACCCTTACCTAAATGACACTCAAGTAAGGTGTCTCCTAGGTCATCTAATTTCTATCCCCCCACTTTTTTCCTTAGTTATGAGTATCTCATTAACAGCTTTCTTCAAGGTTATTAATTTGTTTTCTTAAGTACTGCAATGAAGTTCCTTCGCCAGAAGAGAGGGTAGGACAATTAAAAGCAGCTATAAAAGAAATGTAAGATGAAACTGGAAATCAAACTTTCTTTTACAACTTAGGTATCACGTTAGAGAAATACATTTTTTAGGTATGGCTAATAGTAACATCATTTAAATATAAGTCTCTTCCATGTGATGTATTGTTTTATCAGCGTGCACAAACTAATAGACTGCTTTCAAATATTCCTTACTACTTATGGGTTTTTTTTTTTTTAGATTGTTAAATGATTTCCAGAACTCTATTTCTAAATCACAGGTAAGTTGCAGTGATTCTGGGTTTGGTTATTTAACTTCCCGGTGAAGAATGCAACATTTAGAATGAAAAATTAATCTATGAAGAAGAGGTAAAGTTAGTGTAAATAAGACCTCAAAGCAACAAAAAGATTAATATTTTCTAACACCCTTTTAGAAGAAAAAAAACTAAAAATTATACAGAAAGAACCACATGCAGCAGTTATTTTAAACTACCCCAACTTTCCTTTTGTCTGCAGATGTGGAAAATCTTACGGTTATACTACACCTTCTTTTCAATACATGAAATATCAAAAAACAGTAGTCAAATATTTACAAATATTGCACCATGTACTACCCCTGGGTAAAGGGGAAGCTTAGATGCTCAGAAAGCTTACTCAGAAGCTGCAAGCAGTAGCAGAGAATTACTAAGGCCTCCTGCCAACGCATTTCCAGAATTTTAGAATCTTATGACATTTTTGAGAAAGTGTGCTATCCAATCACCTAGAATCCCTCCACCTTTACAGACAGCTATTCCAGAATTAATATCGATAATATCTAATGCTTACTGGACACTTACCGTGTATAATGAATGCACTGACCTCATTTAATCATTATTATCTCTTCTTATGGGTGGAGAAGCTGAGGCTCAATGAAAATTTGTCTAAAATGACACACTTCATGAGTGGCCGAACTGGGACTCTATTGCAGGTCTTTCTAACTCCAAAACTTGTCCTTTTCATTTATCTTAATATTTAACAATCCCTGCAAATAAAAATCTCCCTTCTTGGATAACCTCATGTTCATGCAAAGACATGCAGTAAAGGTCCCCATTTCAGTGTTGTGTGTTAGCTATTCATTAACCTGAGAAACATGAATCTTATTCTCGGGAATTTATAATTTAAGATAGAAAACTGACAATAACAGCCAGAGAAAGCAACCTAGTGCTAAAGAAACACTGACAAGGTTAAAAAAAATCCAATAAAACCAAGCAAAACACAAGTAAAACAGACCTCGAATTAATCGTAAGCATCATAGGTTTTTCAAGGTTTGAGAATATATTCAGAATAAGGTGAAAACACGGTCAAAGACCCAGAGGAATACTGGGTTCCTAGTCCTGAGAGAGGTCCCCAAAGTGATCGTGTGAGCTGTGCCAGAATACAGATCCAAGTCCTGATGAAAACATATGATACTCAAGATGCGCCAAGTTTTATTTTTTAATAGCTGAGCTTCTAGTTGGCAACAAAAAATCCCGTGCCAGCTGCTGAGGAAATAATGTACCAGGAGCTGGCAGGCATTGACACTTGGAAAGCCAACAGGTACGGATGCACAGTGGGATCCAAGGTGCTAGTGCCTGGAAGGCACGAGTGGAAGTGGGGATGTAGCCACAGAAGAATTGTCCCAGTCTAGGGTCTGGCAAGGTGGAGGCATGCTAGGGAGCCCACCTCCTGTTAAAAAAAAAAAAAAAAAAAAAAAAAAAAGAAGAGCCTCTGAGAGTCAGCTTTAGCCATCCTAGATAAAACAAGTAAGGAGCTTTACTCCTTGTGAAGTGGGGTTCTGGCCTCCTTTACCCAGTATCTGGGAGGAAATGTCAGGCATCTGAGAAAGAAGAGCAGATCACTCCTCAAACTGCGACGTCAGACAGGTGCCAAATGGGGGAAAAGGGTACAGGGCTGTCTTTCTCTGCTCTGGCTGGTAACAAAGTGCCACAGACTGGGGTGGCTTAACTTAAAAAAAAAAAACATTTTTTTCACAGTTCTGAGGGCTGGAAGTCTGCAATCGGGTGCCAGTGTGGTCGGGTTCTGATGAGAACTCTCTTCCAGGCTTGCAGACTTCTTGCTGTGTCCTCCATGGTCAGTGATGAGAGACAGCGAGCGAGCAAGCTCTCACAACTCTTTTAATAAGAGCACTAATGCCTCATCACCTCACCTAAACCTAATTTTCTGCCGAAGGCACATCTCCAAACCCCATCGTATTGGGAGTTAGGGTCTCAATACATGCCTTTGGAGGAATAAACATTCATTCCATAAGATGGGCAGATACAAGGAAATGACTGGTACCTAGGCTCTGGAGAGATGAAGGAAACAGGGAGAAATCAGGAGGGGACGGAGAAGTGCTCTGGGCCTAGGGGTAACTGGACTCAGAAAACAAGAAGTAAAGCTGGTAAGGAGTGGCCTCCCTTCTGCCCCTCAGCCCTGTGTCTGCCTCTCTGCTTCCCACCCACAGTTTCCTTTCACCACGCTCCCCTGGCCTCTGGTTGTCAAAAGAAAGATGGGAAGGTACACATTTCCAGAATAATTACTTTGACAGTGCATAAACATCAGGAATGTAAAGTTAATAACCCTACTTGGAAGTTATGTCAAGCTGCATTTCTTTTTGATCGATGATTAAGCATTTCAGTAGATGGCTTTTAAATAATATCCCCAAATATAGATAGACATGGAACAGACTATTTATGCTCTTATCTCCTTCAAGACCCTCTCCTTAGGTCTTCCTTCCCCTCCTATGGTCAAGTCAGGGGATATGTTACCCAACCATGTGACAGGACATTGCTAACTGGTTACATAGCCACAAATAGGTCATAAGTCAAGCTTTTTAAAAAGAATGATTCTTTTCTAAAAGCAAAACTAGAGGGGTAGAGGAAGCCAGGAAACATACTTTCTTCTAAATCTTGTCCTAGATATCTACAACTAGTGCTAGCATTTGTATAGTCTACAGCAGGAAGTACAAATGAGTGAATGTAACAATAGGTACATTTTTTAAAGGTGATGCATTTAGAAAGCACAAAATGAGAATAAAATTTATGTGAGGATCCTCCAACACACTTAGAAAGCCTTTCAGGCTTAGAGCCCTACTTACTTCAAAAGCTGCTCTGTCTCCTAAACAACATAAAGAACTAAGGTGATCGCCCAGAGAATTCAACTGGAAGAAAACGCAGGTGCACACATGGTTGGGACTAGAAGGGATCTTAGAGGTAGATAATCTCCTCACAGAAGGTGACAGTATCCCTGATCACTTAGAGATGGGGGCTCTTTAAGATAGAGATGACTGACAAAAGACCAGAGCTCCCTGGGTTCAAAAGGAGTTTCAATTGTGGAAACCCCATGGGTGCAACTGATATATTACTCAGCAAATATGTAATGAGTGTTCACTATAAACTAGGCATTGTGCTAAGATTCTGGGGACACAGCAGGGAACAAAGGGACAGAAACCAGAGCCTCAAGAGCTTACATTCTAATGAGAGGGAGACACGTACTGAACAAGTAATTTCGGTGTGCTAGTTTAGAAGTGGGTTCGTATAGAAAAAAACATCCTGAAGAAAGACAGTTTTAAGTACCGCTGATTTTCTTGCAGCTATTTGCCTAATTCCTCTGACATTTGTTCATTCACATAATGTTCCAGAAACACTTAAGGGGAGGCAGGCATTAGGCTGAGGGATGGGCCTAGTAGTAGGAATAAAAGAGGGATAAGATATGGGGTTCCTCTGCCCAATAAGCAGATGTTCTGGTGGTGAAGACGACAAAGCATTCACCTGTAAGACCATAAACACTGGAGATGGGGAATTATGAAATGGTGTGAGTGGGGAAAGGGCAGAAACTTTCTACCTGAGGTGGATGACTGTCCTGGAGGGATTCATAGGAGAGGCACATTTCAGGCCAAGAGAGTTTCATGCTTAACACCACAGAGATATGAAGATCACTGAGGCATCTGTGCAGCCAAGGCAGGTAGAGCAAAAGAGCATGAGTGCTGAAGTCTGACAAACCAGGGCTTGAATCTCAGCTCTGCTCCTCTCCACCTGGCTGTGTGAGCTTAGACAAGGTGCTTCACCATTCTGAGCCTCAGGCTCATCCTTGTGAATTGGTGCTGGTGATAAACACCTGGTAGTATTCTCGAACTAACTAGCAACGTACTTAAAGACAGTATAATCACACCAAGCTCCTAGTAAATATCCCATGATGGTAATTACAGAAGAGAAGTGGTGGGGAAGGAGGCTGGCCTGGAAGTTGAGCTCAGATTGCTAACAAGGCTGTATAAACTGAACTAAGTAAGGTATTTATCCTATCAATACACAAGTGGGAGTCATTATCTCCTACTTCCCACCTTGTGGCCTGTGTGGGGAATAATATTAAGTTTATGTGCTGGGTATGGAGCTCAGTGTTTCACATTTGTGATCTCATTTGATTGTCACAGAAATGACGTGGAGAACACACTACCACAATCTTCACTTTACAAATGAAGCTGAGTGAGGTGCGGGGCTTTATGCCCAAAGAGGCAGGGCCGTCAAGTAACAATTGTGTCCTGCCTGTTCCTGTCTTAGCCCCTGCCTTGCTCAGCAGACCTTCATCTTCACCAATCCAGCTGTCCAGAATGGCCTGCTTGGTGCTCCCCGCCTCAGAGCCACCCTGAGTAGCTGCCTCACCCACCTCTCCCCTTAGAGGTGGCTCCCCGAGGATCACTCCCCTCCACTACTTGGCTCAGGCTCGGACCAACGCTCTGCTGCCCTTGCCTGGCCCAAGCCAGATCCTTAGGCCAACCACTTCCCCCAATCCCAACAGCCCTTAGCTCAGTCCTGACATTCCATTTCCTCAGTAGGTCAATATTTTAAAGAACTGCACTGGTTTTCTGGAGATCATCCTGAAAATTTTCTCAGGTTCCCACTTCATTGGTGTGTCACACATACATATGATAAGCTCTGTTTATTACGTTCTTAGTTTGCCTCCAGTTACAGGTTGCACTCAGAGAGCTCACGAGTTTACCTCATTGAACATTGTTATTAGTGTACATGTTCACATTGAGGGGAAAAAGAGAGGAAGAGCCCAGGGTCCCTCAGGAGTCACTAAAATGTTTCCAGTCAAGAAGAACCCTTTAGAGGCCTATTAGAACTGAACACTCTAGGCCAGGCTGATTTATTGAATTACATATTTTGAATTTGGTCACATTTAATAGCATAGTCTTATTTTCTCAGTGGTTGCCCTGACGGAGAGCTTTGAATAAAAATGACTTATTTGAATGAATAAGCAGCAAATATGAAAATCCAGGTAAACACTAATCTTAGAGCAGTTTTCGCAACTAAAGAACAACTTTGTGTGTCTGTTAGAGTCCTAAGTGGAAGGCAGCTGCTTACTAAATTAAAGTAGTCATGAATTGTCCCTTCAAATCAGTAAAAGTAAGGCAAACCAAACTAACAGTGCAACATTCTGAGCAATGAAAAGTAAAATGCAAGTGAAGGTCTCTATTAAACAGTCCATAAAGACCTAAAATAGGGAGACATCATTCAAATACTTCATTGTAGGTAACAAGACATGTGTGAGCACAATTATAGATCTGTTATCTTCTCCACTTCTATGTTCCAGTTTATAATATTAGTCAAGTTCTGTCTACAGGCATGACATATATCAAAGAAAGTGCACTTTTAACAAAGCATGCTACTACAAACTTGTAAAGAAAACAGGTAAGAACGTGTCCTATCCATTATCTTTTTTCAGAGACTATTCCAATCAGATGGTGGTCTCAAATCTAGCCTTCTTTATTTTTTTCCATGAAATATTTCGGTACCTGGTAAATTTTTGAGCCATACTACCCTGAAACATGACTTAACAAGCAAGTGGTAACAACACATTTGCTAACAGGGTTAAGCTCAGCATCCTGGCACTAATGCCCACAACTCTTCAAGTACTGTCCACAAAACACTTTAGGTCAGTGCCTTTAGCTGCCTAAGCCAGCAGTTGGCAAAATTTGCCACGAAGTGCATTAGTTATATTAAAATTGAGATTCTTGCAAACAAACCCTATTTCTCTACTCTTTTTCCCTCTCAACTCCATGACCACTGAAACTTTGTTGTTGAAGCCAAAGTTAAGTTCACCCTCTGCTTGATGTGCAATCTGTATTCCTTTACTCTCATTCTGTTTTCTTCTATGTGACTGTTTTGGTTACAATGGCAGTAAGTTCTTATCAAAACCGTTCATCAAGTAGTCTTGAGATGCATAACAGTTGCACGTATGTACCCACTTCCCCTTTCTGCACAAAGACACACCTTGCAATATGATTTTTTGTTTGCATATTTATCTGTATATTTGCTTTAAACTCACTTTTCATAAAGTAGAATGTTATTTAAATATAAAGAAGTTTATTCAGTATCCACTTATGACTACCATTCTTTGACCCAGTCACCATCCAATAAAATGTTTTTTGAGCACATGCTTCCAAACTGTGTACACTAACGTACCTATTAATGGTATATATGTGTTACTTAACCAACATTAATGTGCTTTTTAAAACATCCAAAAATAAAAATTAAAGACAAAAATTAAAAAAAGAAACCAAAACAGATTCTCTAATACTTTCTTCTAGCACCTCATTGTATTACACATACCCTGGCTACGGGCATCCCACCTTATAGACCTCTGCTATAGTCGAAATATGAGTGGCTGATTTAATTTAACTCTATTCAATATATAAAAAAGGAGTAATTTTAAGTTTTCAAAAGATTGCTTAAACAGGTTCCTCATTTAAATGACCTTAATTATCCACCTGAGACATCTGCATAGCATATAGAAGGATTATTCAACACACAGCTAATACTAGCAAATGGAAAAATTAATTCAACTTTACTAGTTAGAGGAAAATCTTTCATCAGTAATTTATTTAGCATATTATTGTCACTCTAAATATAATAGAGGAATTATCAATTTGAAACCTATTTAGTTATTATGTACAAAACAAATTACCCGCCAATAAATAGTCTTTTGATATGAACATTGTTCACGGTATGGAAATTTAACTTTCACGCCCTTCGAATAAAGGCTCTTCATTTTCACAAACATTATGTGAAGTAAACATCAGTCATATAATCAGTATCAGACAAAAAGAAATAGGAGGAAGAAAGAGAGAAATGGAACTAGCCAACATGTTACATTGGTAAGAACTGTAACTGTAGCAGTTTCAGTAGATTTTGATAAAAGATGAGTATGCATTTAAAGCTTGTGCCCACGTGGAAAACTAATAAAAAGTTGACATTTTCAAAGTGAAAGAGAGACTAAAGGTAGTTCCTTGAATAAGTTAAGATTTGATATCATTTTAACCTGAAATTCTCATGCAACTGGGGAGGAGCAGAAGTTTAGCTTGACTGGTCTAGGTTAGCAAACCACAGACCAGACCTAGGAGCCGTTTGATTTTCTAGAGTCTGCAATCTAAAAACAATTTTTGCATTTTTAAAAATCAAAAGAAGAATACTATTTTGTGATGTGAAAATTATATGAAAGTCAAATTTTACTGTCATAAATGACATGTCACTGGAACACAGTAATGTGCTATTGTCTGTATGTTGTCTATGCCTGCTTTCTCTCAACCATGGCAGAGGGTAGAGCTGCATCAGAGACTGAATGGCCTTCAAGCCTAAAATACTTACTGTCTCTTTTTACTCACTCTTTACCTGGTCTAGGTAACCAATCTAAGTCCAACATTTCTCCTTTCTTACCTAGTCATAGGCTATGGGATTGTTTTTTCCTTAAAAAAAAAAAAAAATTTACATCATCAGTTTTCTCTTATCTAGCCCCATGTTTGATCTACATTATAGGTAGTGGCAAATTCTGAGTCCCACAACCTCAGCCCAAGACCCAGCTGCTTCTATAGCTGACGTTTTTCTCTCACAATGGTTACTTTATCTACAAAGTGGTTTTCAAGTGACACAAGCCTACTCTTTTTGTTTTTTTTAAACAGGTTGTCTTTGGTCTGACATCAACTTACCCTGCTGACCCAATCTGCCATTGCAATGTTCATGCTTTATAAATTTTGCAAAACAAAAATGTATATCCTGAATTTTTCTGTCCTTTTTTTGCCTCTTCTTAGAATGTACCATCTGCCTGACATGCTGTTTGCCAGTGCTCTACCTATTAAAATCCTGCCAAATTTCAGAGTCTACCCCTCCCCCATAAAGACACCCCAGTCCTCTCTGTCACAACTCTGTCATGAAGATGGCTATTGTTCTTAGATTTCTAATAAGTTTTATTCATTTTACTTATTCATTAATTTATCTTTTATTAAATATATTGTTGGTGCCTTATTAGTAGTACCCTATGCACTTGGAGGCCAAATATTGATTTATCATGCTCATTTACACTCTAGGCCCTTACCCCACCACATGCACACTGCCAGCATACATCGTCTAGGTCAGAATTATTGAAAAGCTTAGACTTATAAACAAGAGGACTTTAGGTAGCACAAACGCATGGAATTAAATAACAAGGAATAAAAGAGAGAGCGAGAACATCCTTTTCTTTTCAATTACTTTTCAATGATTCTGATTACATCAAGAAGAAAACTTCAATTTGTGCTACTCTGGTTTTAACTCTGCTAATCTTTGATCATCTCTTTTTTAAGGAAGAAATCAGTCCTCAGAGTTACAGCCTTCTGCATGTGGACAAGTCTAGCTATAATTTACTAAAAATGTTATGTTTCCATTACAATTTATTTTTACAATTTGTTTCTATTTATGGCATATACAATTTGCTTTTATTCACAGTTTTCAATTTAGTGAAAATTGTATTCTTGGTAAATAAATTTAGGTTAACAAAATAAGGTAATTTAAATAAAAATATTAAGCAAATAGCAGAAGTGGAATACACATAAAACAGAAATCTTATGGTAATACATAGAAATGGGAGAAACATTTGGTTGTAGCAGATACTCAGTAAAGCCAAATTAACATAATCTATCAATCTCCTTGTTGTTGTTCACTATCTACATAACTGAAAGAAAATGTGTAAAACACTAGCTTCAAGACATGATTCTCAAGAGGAGAGAGGGGACACATTTGACAATGTTTAGAGACAGTTTTGGTTTAACAACTTATAAGGGTGTCACTACTGGCAGCTAGTAGGTAGAGGCCAGGGACACTGTTAAACATCCTACAGTGCACAGGACAGCCCCCACAACAAGGAATTTCCTGGGCCAGAAGTCTATAGTGCCTAGATTGAGAAACCCTAGTCTAAGAGAAAAGAGGAAGGTCTACTTGCATTACCCTTTACCCATCACTATGAATCACTGTCTCTCCAGACACTGTTCTTTTCTTTATTTGATCTTTACCACTGACAAGATAATGACTGAGGAAAATCTCTGACAAACTGTATTGAAGGGTCCACATCCTTTATGTGCTAATACTATGCCTTCGATATTTAGACCTAACTTCCTAATTAAACCATTGGAGTCATGAAATCTTCAGATAATCCTGTACTACAAATAGATCAAGAAAACTGAGGTAAAGATCAATATAATTTGAGTAAAACCTTGACTCTAGCTGCTATCAACTTCATGAAAAGTTCCTCTTTGTCCTGAATTACATGGTTCCTTGCCTCAAACACCATATTTTGCAGTATGAATTTGACCTTGAAATTTTACAAAATCAATATTCTGTTTATTAGATACGTAGCTTTCCCAAAAGAGTTTTTAAAAAACCCTTTATTTTTTTTAAAAAAAAAGAGGAAAAAAAGAAAAAAAATATTAACAAAAAATAACTAGTAGTTGAAACACTTCACTTGGCTAACACTACTTTGTTCTTAAATGTATTACTGCAAACACATAACCCACACATATATGTCTGAGGGTAAAGTGTTTACAAGAAAGTTCTTTGAAGCTATTTTGTGGTTAGTGTTCTTTTTCTCTCTCTCTTTCAAGTTCTCCAGAACAGTTTAGAAGCAGATGGCACCTGTGTCTTTTTTTTTTTTTTCCCCCAAAATCTGGAGTTATTTTTAACCTTGTGACAGTATTTAAACATGGAAAAGTAGTGTGCTCTTAAAGCAATGATGTTATCGTAGCCTTCACTTGATTTTAAGGTTTTTACAGTGAGTATATTTCCAAATTTAGCATTTACTATGCATTAACTTTAGTGGATGGTATAGCTTGGAGGCATTTCATGCCTTTTAGTCCAACTTGATTTAACTCCTAATTCTGATACACCTGTGGTAAAGTGACAGTGAAGGTGAAACTGAATCCCTTTCATTTCAGAGCCACAAAACACTCTGCCAACAGAAAAGTGACATTATTTTTAACAACAGCAAGCTACAGAGGTGGCAGCTACCAATACTCACACTGAAGAAAGAAAACCAATGCTGATTGAGATTAGGGTTATTGTCAGGCAAGTTTTAGGGAGAAGAGAAAAGGGTTACAGTATTCTCCTTATCCTAGGGTCACTAGAATCAATATCACTACGACATCAGGACCAAGACCTCAAAGAAGAGGAAGCGGGTACACATGCTGCACCCGGCCCATTTCATTATCATTGATTCACCCTCTTTAAAATCATTTGTTGAGTACCTGTTAAGTACTAAGTGCTCTGCTAGACATGAGCACATAATAGTGAACCAGCCAAACCCACAGACTCTGCCTTCTGGAAGCTTACAGTCAGTGTTCCTGGGAAGACCCTATGAAGCCCCAGTTTTTATTCTCCCACTTGCAATCCCACCTTGCTCCTGAGTCAACTGCCTGAGAAAAGAATCAGATGCACAGAGAACAAGACAGGGTTGGCACAAGTATATTTTTAATTCCTAGTAAGATAAAAAAACCTACCATCCCCCAAGAGCTGGAGCTTCTAAGTGCAGTGTGTGTAGCAGGAGATCAGAAGCCAGCAGTATACCTACCCAGATAGGCCATGGGGCCCTAAAGCATGGTGTCGGAAAAAATCAAGGATCTAAGAAGCTCTGGTCACGAGAATGGTTTAGGAAATTGGTTGACCAAAAAAAAGGAGAATCTGTTTCTTCAGCAGCCATGCTGTGGACTGAATTGTGTCCCCTCAAAATTCACATGTTGAAGCCTTATTCCAACTCCAATATGATGGTATTTATAGGTGGGGCTTTTGGAAGGTAATTATGTTTAGTATGAGGTTATGCAGCTAAACCCCTCATCGTGGGATCAGTGCACTTGTAAGAAGAGGCACCAGAGAGCTTGGTTTCTTTCTCTCTTCCCCTCTCTTTCTCTCTTCCTCTCTGCCTTGTGACGACACAGCGAGAAGGCAGCCATCTGCAAAACAGAGAGTCCTAACTGAGGAAATGCATTGGCTGGGACCCTGATCTTGGACTTCCTAGCCTCCAGAGCTGTGAGAAATGCATATTTATTGTTTAAGCCACCCAGTCTAAGACATCTTGTTATATCAACCAGAGCCAAGAGCACTAAGACAAGCCAAGAACATTGGCTGAAGCCCTTCTCTTAGAAAATGCACGCTTTCGTGTTTCCTTATAGAAAGCATTTGCTCACTGTGACCTGGAGCCAGAATACATGTTACCATGTAGAATATACCACTTCTCAGTCTCTGAGTTCCTTCCCAACACAGCCCCTGGCACTCTTAGCCAGTTCAAATTACTGTGTGCCCAGCAGACCTTAGGGAGACACCAGAGTTTTTCCAAAATGTTTAGAAGGGGAAAAATCAGTAATGACCTGGAGGCAAAGATAGGAGCCTTTTTCTCTACAGGGCTGTGCCAAAAGGATACCACCCAATGTTGCCAATTGGTCTGCAGGGAATTTCTTTAAAAGACTCTGCCTCATAGCTTAATCTATCACACACAGATTTATGGCCTACAACAGCACTTTTCAAACTGAATCACAACACATTAGTGGGATGTGAAATCACATGGGTTCAGCCAAGTTTTTTTAACAAAATAGATGAAATCAAACAGCATATAATAGAAAATATTAAAGTGCATTGCTGGTAATAAGAATAAACACTGTTTTATGAAATTGTTTCTGTTTTATACACACACACACACACACACACACACACACACACACACCCCTTACTATGGAAATCTATTTGGTTCCTAAACAATAATACATATAGCAAGGGATCCTATATAATTAGTTTAATTGAGTTGACAAATAAATGTATTTAAAATTATAAATGTATACACATAATTGTGTTTACATAAATGTGACACATAAATGTATTATTTAAAATTACATTGCAGTGGGGAGGAGTATGCAAAGTGCCTAGCCTAAAGAAACTACAGTAAGTGGAATGGGAACTAAATTTAAAGAAAAAAAAGGTTCCAAAATAGTTTAACACATTCTTCTCTTGTTCTAATTATCTTTCATTTGGTTTGGTTTCCTTGGATTTGTATGTCTGGGAATACATCTGGTTTTCTTATCATCTTTTCTTTCAACATGGAACAACAGTGAGAAACTAAAGGTGAGACAACTGAAAACAGGACATGGGTTTGCATGCACAGACGAAATCTGCACCACCAAGCAGGCTGGGCCATTTCCTGTCATTCCATGTGCCAAACCACTGGGCGGGATCTGGACCAGAGGCAGCTCCCTTCTCCCTCAGAAAAGCCTTTAAAATGCCAGTTTCTCAAATCACTGGGCAAAAGACCAACTGCTCTCGAGGATCTGGAGCCCTGAATAGGATCATGGCCAATTCGTATTTTTAAGTAGAGTTGAATGTGTGTGTGTCATGATTTTTGTAAACTTTTTGAAAAACTCTATGAACAAAACAGTGTCTTCAAATGTGATTTTAGGAAAATTACTTTGCCTGATACTTTTAATTCACCCGTAACCCCTATACTCTATGCCCTCCCTGCCAAAAGAAAGTGAGCACATCTGTCTTGGTCTCAATGGCTCCATGTGGATCAGTGCTGCCAGCACCTGCCTTCGCCAGCACTATCCAGGGGCTTCAGGTGGATATAGCCTTGGGAGTTTAGCTCCCCTTGAGTTCCCAAACACATCCTCAGGGTGTATCGCCCCAGTGGTCACCGTCCAATCTTCTTGCAATCAGGAGTCACTACTTTACAACAGACAACTGTAATGGAGGAGCCAACAAATCACTAATTCTGGTGGAGACTGTCTACTTTCTAGAGCTAACCACAACAGCAACACGTAACACCAGAAGCACTGTTCTCTTAGTATATTAATGACAACTGCATTACTAATGAATTAGAGTCACACTAGCAGGTGGATTTGGTCCAAAGCTGAGAGTAAAGGCTTGAAACTGATGACCTGAGTTCAACTTGATCTCTAGTGTAGGAAGAAAGAAGATTTTAGTCACTCAGCCAATATCTACGATCATCATTCTGTTGCATTCTCTGGCTCTATCGATTCTTAATAATTATATCTAGAATAGTAGTTGATGTTTTAAGTTTATTTACTTAAAAATTTCTGATAATGAAAATGATACTTCTCAAAGTCTCAGCCAGAGTAAGCATGCACCCCACGAATGCTGCCATGTACAGAAAACTTACCTAACAATACGCTTTACTGCTGACAAACAGAGCCTAAGTAAGACATTTTAGCTTTTATTGTTCCTCAATGTAGTTTAACTCTGTGATCTTTTACAGTAATCATAAGACTAGATAATAGAGCGAGAATCTTAGCAATGTATAGACAGAGGGTCTCCAATAGGATGGGCTTAACTTACAATTTTTCGACTTTTATGATGGTGGGAAAGTGATAGCATTCAGTAGAAATCGTACTTCAAATTTTGATCTTTTCCTGAACTATACATGGTAGGATACTCTCTCTGATGCTGGGCACCGGCCATTAGCCACAGCTCCCAGTTAACCACAGGAGGGTAAACAACCGGAACTCTAGAGTGTTCTCTGTTGTCAGTGTTTTTTGAATATTGTGTTTTGTGTTTCATATCTCACCATGTCTACAAAATCCCATCTGTACACGGTATTTAACAGTTATTATAAAATAGGCTTTATGTTAGATGATTTTGCCCAAATGTAGGCTAATATTAAGTGTTCTGAGCATGTTTCAGGTAGGCTAGGCTAAGCTACAACGTTTGTTAGCACAGGTGTAGTAAATGCATTTTCAACTTCTGATATTTTCAACTACAGTGGGCTTATTGGGACATAACACCATCATAAGTTGAGAAGCTTCTGTATAACCGATTAATATTTGTCCTCCAAAATTTACTGCAACACGTAATTCTGAACTGAAAAATAAAAAACCCAAACTTCAAATTTCTCAGTTTTTTCCTATGCAGGCTACCATCTCATAGGGGTATACAATTGGCAGTTTATTTTTTTCCCATTTTTCAAATTAAAGTGAATTTCTTGAGTTTCATGACGATGAAGCTTATTCATAAAGACAACGTGTGTGGATAAGTCAGCCTATTTGAGGCATCTAGGGTTAATGTTACTCTGAAAACAGATGTGCTACTGGGACAGTCCCTGCAGCAGCATCAGGCACTTCCTCTACTACACAGTAGTTTATAAAACACCCAGTAAACAATTTTAAGTAGATCATCCCTTTACTCAGAGGTTTACATGGTTCCACTGTCACGCATCATACAATTAATAACAGGCATGTTTTGGACCTTACAAAAATCGACATCATTGTCCTTTCATTTCCACCTATATATATAATAGATCTTCAGATGAATACTGAAAAACTTGATCAAAAATGGATGTTTATGTATACATTATTCAGTGCTCAAATACTTCAAAACATTTTTAACAGTGACAAATCACTGAATTTTCATTCAGAAGTTTGCCTATTTTACACATCTATATTCAATGAGCCTTCAATAGTACTAGCAAAGTGGGGGGAGAGTGGGCAGTGATCATTACATCTTCCCACTAAATACCAACATCCAGAATCCTGCTCTGGATCCTCCAATGACTTGAAAAAATAAAAAGGCTGTTAGCAATACTATTTCCAGCAAAAAGAGAATGAAAAATGAAATTGCAAAGGAGTAGTAAGTACAGAAGCTGCAACTTGTCAACCGTTGAAATTACATCTTCAGATTCCCTATACTAAAGAGCCTGGATCTAAAATAAGTGTTGAAAATAAATCTCCTTACCTATGGATAACAGAGAGAAAAGACAAAAAAAAAGGAAGTAAGGGAAAGAAAACTATAATTTTCAATGGATACAAATACGAAAGCATATGGAATCATGCAGAAGGCCAAACTGCTACCTGTTTGGATCTTCAGAGGAGGGATAGGGGACATATCTGCAATCCTAGGGAGATGGTCTGTTGCATATATAATTTAAATAAATCACTCCAGCCCATGAAAGAAGGGAAGCAGCAGCATTCTCACTAATTACCACTGCCTGGATCCCATATGCTGCTTTCTCTTTAAAGCCACACTAGTTCATTATTCTGCCTTCAACTCTCTTAAATGATTCATTTCTCCCTTCACTCCTGAGCAGACTCTGCAGGGAAGCTAGTATTTAAGTTTAATTTCTCGTGTCACTTGCTTTGGAGAGCTTGACGAGGGGAAGGAGGAGGAATCTAACTTAATAATTCTGTCTTGATTTGGAGGGGCACCCTCCGGCCCCCACCCTAAACAATAACTAGACAAACAGGACCCTCTGGCAAGCTATAATCGTGAGCAAAGATATCAATTGGGAAAGCAGGGCCCACGTGCGGTGGGAGCTGTCACCCAAGGGAAGTGGCAGCCTGCGAGAAGGAGGGAAGGTGGGAGGGAGTCGGGCTGATCCTACAGCTGCACCGGCCTAGGCGCTCTGGTGGGGTGGGAAGGACTCGAGCCGCACCTGAATGAAGGTTAGCTCTCTCTCAAGACACTAACTAGGTAGGGAGAAATCGAAGGGCACGAAGGCAGGCTCCCGCACCCTCCGAGCCGTCGCTGCGAGAGGGACAACCCCCAGTGCACGCCGCGGGCTTCCCCAGCCGGAGCCCGCGCCTTACCGTCCCAGCTCCGACTCCACCTCGAAGAAATCGCTCAGCGCATCCCTGTTGGAGCCGTCGATCCAGTAATCCGGGACGAGGCTCGCGGTCCCCGGGGCCGCACTGGCGGTGACCGAAGAGCAGGACGAGGCGGAGCAGGAGGGCACCGTGACTTTGAGCATCTTCGCAGCGGGACTCCGGAAGCCGCCGCCGCCGCCGCCGCCGCTGCCCGAGCGAGAAGCCGGCCGCCAGCCGCCGCCTGCGAACGCAGGAGCGAGAGAGAGGCGGCGTCCTTCACGCGCGCACACGCCCACCGCCGCCGCCCGCGCTCGCAGGGACGGTGGGCGGGGAAGGGGGCGAGCCTCTGCGAGAGGGCGCGAGGGGGAACCCGGAGTCGCCGCCCGCTGGAGGGAGACTAGCTGCACCGCTGAGGAGAGAGGCTCCCTCCCCCTCGCTCCTTCCCTCCTCACCCGCCCTCCTCCCGCGCCGAGCCTTTCCCGCCGCCCTCCCTCTTTCCTTTCTCTCTCCCAGGCTGTGGCTGCCGCGGTGCCGGCTAGGGCGGCTCCGGATGCTGGAGCTTGGGGAAGGCACAAGGACCCGCGCATCATCCCACGCGCCCTCCCGCGGGGACCGGAGCTGGAGGGAGACCGTGCGCAGCGGGACGCTGCTCTGGGATGGCGGGCGCCAGGCGTACCCTGGCAGCACCTGGGTCCGGGCGGCCCCGCCGGATAGCGAGAGAGGGACCTAGGTGGTGGTGGCGCAACTCATCCCTCCTTGAGCGCGTCTCCGTGGCGAGTCCCTCCCACCTAACACCAGCTAACCAGCCATCCTCTGTCAAAGCTTATATTGGTGGCCGGGGAGGGAGTACTGTGGTCGCCGATCCCTCAGGGCTCCTGTGCCTGGACCCAGTGAGAGCTGGAGGAAAAGGAAGCGCCCAGGTCCACACTGACCTGACTCACCTTTGAGTGAAGTCTTCAGTTGGAATAAATGCTGTCGTCGCTGCTGGTGGCACTGCCTCCTCGGCACTGCTGGAGCTCCTAAAAGAGGAGATACTTGGCTGTGTCGAGTTCAATCTCAGCATCTGAAGTGGCTCAGAATTACAGTTCTAGAAGGGCCTTGTGGAAGCCAACTAGTAAACCCTCTGCCTTAAGGCAGGACCTGTCCTCATTCATGACAGGGAAGACTGCTACATGTAAAAGCCCTTTTTCTCTTCCCAAGAGATGTATCCCATGATAAGCATTCTTATGTCCTGTCCATCAGCTGTCATGGCTCTTCTTCTCAGTATTAAACATACATCACTTAAACTACCCTTGAACTTTTTTCTTTTCAGATTTCAGCAAAGACGAACAACAATTAGTCATGTTCTGATACATATCTATGACAGTTATTATACCACAACTCATTTCTGGCTAAATAGCTCCAGGCGCTTTCACCTTACTTCACAGGTGTTACTTTTGGCCTTTTTTTTTTCCTGAGTTTCCTCCAACATGCGCTAAACTCTTCCTAGTAAGTCTCCATTCCTGATAGCACCAACCATTAATATGGTCCAATATTTTAATCTAATTTATGGATTTATTATTCTTAAAAGCCTGCCTGCTATACTGGTGAACAAACAACCAAAAATATCCAATCAAGTAGTTACAGGAATGTGATTCCTAGCTGATTGGAAATTGAAAATATATATAGTCATGCATCCCTCAACCACGGTGAGAAGTTGAAGAGATGCATCCTTAGGCGATGCAGTTGTAAGAACATCATAGGGTGTACTTGTACACAACCAGATAGTATAGCTTACTACACAGCTATGCTGGATGGAATAGTCAATTGCTCCTAGGCTTCAAACCTGTACAGCATTTTACTATACTGAATACTACAGGCCAGCGGTCCCCAACCTTTTCGGCACCAGGGACCAGTTTCTTGGAAGATAATTTTTTCCACAGACAGGGGGTGGGGAAGATGGTTCTGGGATGATTCAAGTGCATTACATTTATTGTGCACTTTAATTCTATTATTATTACATTGCAATACATAGTGAAATAATTATACAACTCACCGTAATATAGAATCAGTGGAAGACCTGAGCTTGTTTTCCTACAACTAGACGGTCCTATCTGGGGGTGATGGGAGACAGTGATAGATCATCAGGCAGTAGATTCTTATAAGGAGTGCACAACCTAGATCCCTTGCATGTGCAGTTCACAATAGGGTTCATGCTCTTACGGGAATCTAATGCTACCACTGATCTGACAGGAGGCAGAGTTCAGGCAGTAATGTGGGAGATGGAGAGCCCCTGTAAATATAGATGAAGCTTTGCTTGCTTGCCTGCAGCTCACCTCCTGCTGTGTGGCCCAGTTCCTAACAGGCCACAGACCAGCCCATGGCCTGGGGGTTGGGAACTCTGCTGTAGGCAACTGTAACACAACAATAAGTATTTGTGTATTTAAACATATCTAAACATAGGAAAGGTACAATAAAAATATGGTATAAAAGGTAAAAAATGGTACACCTGTATAGGGCACTTACCATGAATGCAGCTTGCAGGACTAAAAGTTGCTCCGTGTGAGTGAGTAAGTGGTGAGTGGATATGAAGGCCTAGGACATTACACTACTTAGACTTTATACATACTGTATGCTTAGGCTACACTAAATTTATTTAGAATAGTTTCTTTCTTCAATGGTAAATTAACCTTAGTTTACTGTAACTTTTACTTTATAAACTTTTTAATGTTTTAAAACTTTTTGACTCCTTTATAGTAATGCTTAGCTGAAACACAAATACAAGGTATTTTATACAAAATATATTGTAAAGCTGCACAAAAATGTTTTCTATGTATCCTTATTCTATAAGCTTTCTTCTTTTTAAAACAACTTTTTTAACTTTTTGAACTTTGTTAAAAACTAAAACATACACACACACTAGCCTAGGCCTACACAGAGACAGGCATCGATATCATGTCTTCCGCCTCCACATCTTGTCCCACTGAAAGCTGGAAGGGCTTTAGGGGCAATGACATGCATGGAGCTGTCATCTTCTATGATGACAATGCCTTATTCTGGAATACCTCCCGAAGGACCTGCCTGAAGCTGTTTTACAGTTAACTTTTTTTATAGCTAGAGGAGAAAACTCTAAAATAACAATAAAATGTATAGTGTAGTAAATACTATACTAGTATTTACTGGTAACATAGTATAAACTAGTAACATAGTCATTTATTACCATTATAAAGTATAATGTACTATACATAATTGTATACACTATACTTTTATATGACTGGCAGCACAGTAGGTTTGTTTACAGTGGCATCACCATAAACACATGAGTAATGTATTACACTGTAAGATTAGGCTATGATGTCACTAGGTGACAGAAATTTTTCAACTCTATTAGTCTTGTGGGACCACCGTTACACATGCAGCCCATTGTTGACCAAAATGTTGTGTGACACATGACTGTACAAAAACTATTCCTCATGATAATTTTATAATGATGAGCACAAACTCAATGTACAAATGCTCTAACAAATAACAAGTATATGCAAATTCATACAAATTCACTTACATACTAGCTTGTTTGGTGAAAGACTGAAAATGCCCACGTGATGTTACTTTTCAGAGAATAGATTCACTAATCGTGTTGAAAAATCAAGTTCACAAGCAAAGCAAGATAATAAAGCTCTCTAAATTCTAGCTTTGACTCAGTAAGTTTCCCTTGGCTTGCACTGACCAGTGGACAAATGGGCATGAAATAGTTGCTAGGCCATTTTTATTCTCACTTCTTTGAGGCAAGTCCAGCAGCAGCAGCACTGCATGTAAATGCTTGTCTGTTCTTAGCAATTCTTTTACAACATAAGCCCAAAGCAAGCATGTTACATTAAAGGAGATGGTAAGCCTTTTTTCTCCTGCTACTTTAGGTAACAATGGTGCAAGAAAGCCATTTCATGGTACAGAGGTGATTATAGAATTCATTTTATATTCAGCATAATTTTAGTCATTTGACATCTATGCTTTTCATAATTGACTTTTGTAAAAATGCTATTAATTGAAGTTTAAAAACAGGATATTTTGTATAATCCATGCAGCTTACTTTCATTTGAGACATAGATAAAAATTAATAAATATTAAAATAGATGAAACAGGAATTAAATATACAAAATGTACCATTACTTCTTATCAAAACTCAACTGAAATGACCAGAAAAGGAACAGGGTTATCATCCCACAAAAAGAAAGAGAGAAGTGATGTCAACTGAATCTTGAACACGTAAACAAACAGTAACAGAGGAGTTAATAAATCAGAAACCTAGATTTGCAATGGGAAAAGCCAATAAGAAGAAATCTAATCCCTACTATAAAATCAAGACATGTTCAGAAGTTAGAGTACCAGATAGTTCTCAAGGTGAGGCATAGAACAGAGAACAAAACATTGGTTAAAAAATTTTATAAAAAGTTATTAGGCCCCTTCATCCAAATTAGAAAGGAAGAAGTCAAATTGTCCTTGCTTGCAGATGATGTGATCTTATATTTAAAAAAGCCTAAAGACTCCACCAAAAAAAAAAAAAAAAAAAAAACTATTAGAATTGATCAGTCCAGTAAAGTTGCAGGATACAAAATCAACATATGAAAACAGTAGCATTTCTGAAATAGAAAATGAAAAAGTAATCCCATTTACAATAGCTACAAATAAAACAAAATATCTACGGATAAACTTAACCAAAGAAGTGAAAGATGTCTACAATGAAAACCGTAAAACATTCATGAAAGAAATGGAAGAGGACACAAAAAAATGCAAAGATATTTTATGTTTATGGATTGGAAGAAACAATATTTTTAAAATGCCCACACCACCCGAAGCAATCTACACATTCAATGCAATGTCTATCAAAATGCCAATGACATTCTTCACAGAAATAGGAAAAATAATGCTAAAATTTATGTAAAACCACAAAAGAAGCCAAATAGACAAAGCAATCCTGAGGGGAGGCCAGGGCAGGGGGAAGCTGGAGGTGTCATATTACCTGGTTTCAAATTATAATACAAAGGTAAAGTAACCAAAAGAGCATGATACTGGCATCAAAACGAATATATAGGCCAGTAGGACAGAAGAAAGCACCGAGAAATAAATTCATGCATTTACAGTCAAATCATTTTTGAGAAAGGCACCCAGAACATACATTAGGGAAAGGACAGTCTCTTCAATAAATAGTGCTTGGAAAACTGGATGTCCATTTGCAGAAGACTGAATCTAGACCCTCTCTCTCACGATACAAAAATCAAGTCAAAGTGGATTAAATACTTCAATCTAATACCTGAAACTATGAAACTACTAGAAGAGAATATTGGGGAAACACTCCATTTCATAGGTCTGGGAAAGATTTCTTGAGTAAGGTCTCAAAAGAACAGGCAACCAAAGCAAAATGGACAAATTGAATCACATCGAGCTAAAGTTTCTGCACACAGCAAAGGAAACAATCAAAAAAACTGAAGAGACAACCCACAGAATGGGAGAAAATATTTGCGAACTATCCATCTGACAAGGGTTTAATAACCAGAATATATAAGAAACTCAAACAACTCTACAGGAAAAAAAATCAGATTGAAAAATGGGCAAAAGATCTCAACAGACATTTCTCAAAAGAAACATACAAATAGCCAACAACTATATAAAGAAATTTCTATTCATCAAAGAAATGCAAATCAAAACAAGGAAATATCTCACCCCTGTCTTTCTGATAAATGACTTTTATCAGAAAATCACCTTAGAGTGAAACCTACCATTAAACAGGCTCAGTGACCCAAAGCTTCTAATGAGATACAATCTTTCTAATAAATGACTTTTATCAGAAAGACAGGCAATAATGAATGTTGGTGAGAATGTGGAGAAAAGGGAACCCTCGTACACTGTTGGTGGGAATATAAATTAGTACAGTCACTGTGAAGAACAGAATGGAGGTTCCTCAAAACAATAAATAAATTAAAAATAGAACTAACATGTGGTCCACAATCCCACTGCTAAGTATATATCCAAAAGAAAGGAAATCAGTATATCAAAGATACATCTGCACTCTCATATTTATAGCAGCCATGATAAAGAATCAACCTGAGTATCCATCAGTGGATGAATGGATAAAGAAAATGTAGTATGTATACACAAGGAAATATTATTCAGCCATAAAAAGAATGAAATCTTGTCATTTGCAACAACACAGATGAAACTGGAGGACATTAAGTGAAATAAGCCAGGCACAGAAAGACAAATATTGCATGTTCTCACTCATATGTGGAAGCTAAGAAAAATATTGAACTCTTAGAGATAGAGAGTAGAATGATGGCTATCAGAGGACGGGAAGGGTAATAGCAAGGAGGGGATAAATAGGGGATAGTTAATGAGCACAAAAATACAGTTAGATACAGGGAATAAGATCTAATGTTCAGTAGCATAATAGGGCAACTATAGTTAACAGTAACTTATTACATATTTCAATATAACTAAGAGTGGAATTGGAATGTTTCTAACAACAAGGAAGTGATAAATGCTTGAAGGGATGGATATTCCAGTTACCCTGATTTGATCACTGCACACTGTATGTTTGTATAAAAATATCACATGTATCCCATAAATAAGTGCAAATATTATGTATTCATAACAAATTCTTTTTTTAAATTAAAGCTTTTAGGCTTCCTGGATTACCTCTTCTAACAATTCACAGCCAAAAAACACTCCTACCAAAGCCTAGAAGAAGATAATATATTTAATTTTGTAAATGTTGAACAAGGAACGAAATATGTTTTAGGTCAGAAGATACAGCTGAGGCCATATTGAAAAGAGAGATTAAGTGAAACTCTGCACGATAAGTAGCGAGACCCCTGAGGGCACACGCTCCCAGAATGTTGAGAAATAGGTTTATGTCTATTTTGCCCCTAGCCATACAACTATTGGTGGATTTTTCACTGAACAAAATAAATAACCCAAGGAGGGTTATATATATAACACAAAATACTACAAATAATTCCCTCTATATGATATTCAAGGAAAGGCAAAACTGAAGTGACAGAATGCAGATCAGTAGTTCTCCAGGGCTAAAGTGGGAGGGAATCAAATGCAAAAGACTCTAAGGGATTTGGGGAGTGATGGAAAGGTTTTATATCATGGTTATGGTGGTGATTACAGGATTTTATTCATTTGTCAAAACTCTGAATTATACTTTTTAAATTGATAAATTTTATTGTACCTAAGTTACATCTTAATAAAAACAATTAAAATTAAAGGCACAGCCAGTGCTCTAACTTAGGTAAAATTAGAAGTTATTAATATTGGAAAGAAAGAAGTTAAATTGTTGTCATGTACCGATGACTTGACTATTATATAGAAAATTCTAAAAGTTGGTTTAGACTACTACAATTGATCAGTGAATTTGTCAAGGTCACAATATACAAGGTCAATATAAAACAATCACAATATAAAACAAATACTAATAGGAAATGATAGGAAAATTCACTAATACCATTTCATTTACAATAGAATAAAAAGCATAAAATACTTAGGAATCAATTCAACAGAAGATGTCCAAATCATCTACAGTTAAAATTACCAGATATTGCTAAGTGAAATTTTTGCAAATCAAAACTACAAAGAGAAATAATCTCATACCAGTCAGAATGACAATTACTAAAAAGTCAAAAAATAACAGATGCTGGTGAAGCCGCAGAGAAAAGGGAACACTTATACATTGTTAGTGGAAATGCAAATTAGTTCAGCCACTGTAGAAAGCAGTTTGGAGATTTCTCAAAGAACTTAGAACTACCATTTGGCCCAGCAATCCCATTACTGGGTATATACTCAAAGAAAAATAAATCGTTCTGCCAAAAAGACACTTACACTTGTATGTTAATTGCAGCACTATTCATGATAGCAAAGGCAGAATCAACCTAGGTACTCATCAATGGTGAACTGGATAAAGAAAATGTGGTACATATACACCTTGGAATACTACACAGCCATAAAAAATAATAAAATCACGTCCTTTGCAGCAACATGGATGTAGTTGGAGGCCATTATCCTAAGTGAATTAACACAGAAGCAGAAAACCAAATATCACGTGTTCTCACTTATAAGTGGGAGCTAAACACTGAGTAAACATGGACATAAAGGTGGGAACAACAGACACTGGAAACTACTAGAAGAGGGAGGGAGGAAGAGGTGGATGGGATGAAAAACTACCTATTGGGTACTATGCTCACTACCTGCATGATGGTGTCAACCATGCCTCAAACCTCAGCATCACGCAGTATACCCATGTAACAAACCTGCACGTGTACCCTCTGAATGCAAAATAAAAGTTGAAAAAAATCTAAGTGGAGAGATATATCATGCTCATTGACTGGAAGACTCAGTATTATTAACATAACAATTCTCTCCCTAACTGGTATGCAGACTAATCTTAATAGGCTTTGTTTGTAGAAAATGAAAAATGTATGCTAACATGTGTAAAGAAATACAAAACATCTGGGATACCAAAACAGTCCTGAGAAGAACAAAGTTGGAGAACTCTATCTGACCTTAAAACTTACTATAAACAGACAGAAATAAAGACATTGTGATATTAGTATAACAAGAAAAAAAGGGGTCAATGGTAAAGAATAGAGT
The DNA here is from genome assembly GCF_000001405.40 of Homo sapiens. NCBI lineage: Eukaryota > Metazoa > Chordata > Mammalia > Primates > Hominidae > Homo > Homo sapiens. Next base: position 111,216,022 of record NC_000005.10, on the reverse strand, counting down.
ACAGAAATAGAATCATATACATGTGGTCGATTAAATTTTGAAAAAAGTATCAAAGCAATTAAATAGGCAAAGGTAAGTTTTTACAGTAAGTGGTACTGAAATAATTAAATAAACACATAGTAACAAATGAACTACAATCTTTTTCTTATACCACAAAGATTAACTTAATTTAAAATAAACTTTTTATACAGAAGCTAAAACTATCATAGCATTTCTAAAAAAGACATTAAAGAATATCTCCAGGAAATTACAGTATATAAAAATATCTTAGACAAGACACAATGAGCTCTAAATATAAAAGAAAAAGATTTTAAAATTGCGTTTGTCAAGTTTAGAAACTTCTGTACAGCAAGAGACACAATCAAAAAAGTAAAAACAGAAGCCACGAGCTGAGAGTAAGTTCTTTCAATACAAATATTTGACAAATAATATGCATCCAGAATATACAAACCCTTAGAAATCAATAAGAAGAAAACTAAAAATATGATTAAAAGACTTCTAGTGTCTCCTCAAGATATAGAGAATTGGAAAGAACAATATTTTCCACCCTTACAAAAACAACAAAAAATGCAAGGTCAAGATTTTCTTGAAAACTTCAGAGAAGTGAAGTCACAGGAAAACCAACTAGTCTAAAATCTAAGGAGAAAAAGATGTCTGTGAGGAAAGATGGCACTTGCTAACCAGGAACAAACACAGCCAGAGACCAGTTAGAATTTGGTTAGAAGAGTTAATAAATTGGGGAGGTGTATCAGTTTGTTTTCATATTGCTATAAATAACTGCCTGAGACTGGGTAATTTATAAAGGAAGGAGGTTTAATTGACTCACAGTTGCGCGTGGCTGGGGAGGCCTCAGGAAACTTACAATCAGGGTGGAAGGCAAAGAGGAAGCAAGGCACCTTCTTCACAAGGCAGAAGGAAGGAGAAGTGCTGAGTGAAGGTGGCAGAGCCCCTTTAAAAATCATCAGATCTTGTGAGAACTCACTCACTATCACACGAACAGCATGGGAGAACTGCCCCTCATGAATCAATTACCTCCACCTTGTCTCTCCCTTGATATGAAGACTATAATTCAAGATGAGATTTGGGTGGGGACACAAAGACTAACCATATCAGGGAGTGTTGAGTGTGCGTTCACAGGAGAATGCAGAGCCCCTGGGAGCCACATACTCCCACACATAGGGGGAGTTCACATCTTCTTGCAGTCTTTTCTGGACGGACTCTACTGGGCATACAAAAAAAGGATGGGTGAGAGTCCTGAGAAAGCATGCTTCATGGTGCAGACCTGGAGGAGAATGGTAGCTACTGTGAGGGGGTACAAAACCAGCCAAGAACTTCTCTCTTATCTCCCCTGATAAATAGAAGCCTTCATATACAAGTGGTTTTGGCAACAAGCATTGTCACCTTTAGGCACTGGGACAAAGGCAGTGCAGCTGGGGGAAGGGAACAGGGAAAAATCCCCTTTTCCTGGAGGGAGAGGCAGGCATATGTGCTGAGCACAGAACTACAGATGGTGAAAAGGCAAGAGTTCTGAGAAGGTCACATTCCCAAGACCCATGTATATAGGGCCCCCTAAGACTGAAGTTTAATCAAAACAACAGAGACTGTCCCCTCTGCTCCCTAGTACCAAGCTAACACGCATCAGATAAAAAGTAACAGTGGGGTGCTGCTAGGAAGTTGTAAGAACGGGGAGACAGACCCTCTCAACAGCATAATGCAAATAAGAGAACTAAAGCTGAGTGTGGACCAGATAGAGGAACCTGCTCAGGAAAACCAGGCCCCACCCAAAACTAAAGATGTGGTTAGAGAAATCTGAAGCATGTGGTACACCAAGAATAAGCATAGCATGAATAAACTGCAAATCCAAACAATATCCTCAGTAGATTAACCCAAACCTCCACAAAAAATGCCTAGCATAAGGGAAGGCATGCTTACTTACAGGCATGAAAACTACTATTTCCACTTTCCAACACACGATGCACACATTAAACGCAAAATTATAAGCAAACAAAATGGCAAGAAATAAACAACATACTGGTAAGAAACAAAGCGATCAACTGAACTGGACTCAGATGTGACAGAGATGTTAGAATTATCTGACAGCAATTTAAAAATAACTATGACTATGATGTTAACAACGGTAATGGAAAAAGTGAAGACATGAGATAAGTGGAAAATTTCAACAAGGAGATGAGAACTAAAAGAATCAAATGAAATTTCAAGGAACAAAACCCCCTACAGTAACATAAATGAAGAGTGCCTTCAACACACTCATCAGCAAATGTGGCACAGCCTGGGAAAGATTCATTGAACTTAAAGATAGGTCAATTGAAAACACCCAGATAGAAACACAGAGCACCCAAGACCAATGGAACAATCTTAAAAATTCCATGCAGTCTCACATATGCCTACGTGGAATTCCAGAAAAAGAATAGGACGGAAATTTTCTCCCATTCTGTAGATTGTCTGTTTACTCTGTTGATAGTTTATTTTGCTGTGCAGCAGCTCTTTAATTAGATACCATTTGTCAATTGCTGCTTTTGTTGCAATTGTGTTTGGTGTCTTCATCATGAAATCTTTGCACGTGCCTAGGTTGTCTTCCAAGGTTTTTATAGTTTTGAGTTTTACATTTAAGTCTTTAATTCATCTTGACTTAATTTTTGTATATGATGTAAGGAAGGAACTGGAGGCCATTATTCTTATCAAACTAACACAGGAACAGAAAATCAAATACCATATATTCTCACTTATAAGTGGGAGCTAAATGATGAGAACTCATGGACACATGGAGAGAATCAACACACACTGGGGCCTACTTGAGGCTAGAGGTTGGGAGAAAGGAGACTATCAGGAAAAACCAATAATGGGTACTAGGCTTAATACCTGGGTGATGAAATAATCTATACAACAAACCCCCATGACTCAAGTTTACCTATGTAACCAACCTACAGATGTACCACTGAACTTAAAATTTAAAAAACAAAGAAAGAAAGGATACGACAAAAAAATTTGAATAATGGCTATGAATTTTTCAAAATCAGTAACATACACCAAACCACGGATTCAAGAAACTTAGAGAACTGCAAGGAGGATAAACATCAAATGTGTGTGTGTGTGTGTGTGTGAGATATGTTTGTCTACACACATATCATCTAGGCATATTATAATCAATCTACTGGAATCAAAAGACAAAGAGAAAATTTGAATGTAGTTGGAGAAAAAAACAATACCACACAAATATAAAAATGATAAATTTAAAAAAAGAGAAAACATATTCAATAGGGGGAAATAAACTAAAAACACAAGAAGGCAAATTAATGAAATAAAAAACAAATATACCATAGAAATACTCAGTCCAAAGTCTGTTCCTTAAAAGGACCAATAAATTGATGAACTCCCAAATAGATTAATAGAGAAAGAGATACAAGTAACCATGATCAGGATTAAAGCAGGGGAAATCACAACAAGTTTGATAAATTCTAAAAGTAATAAAAGAATATTATAAAATTTTGAATGAAATCTTTCTTAGAAAAACACCATTCACCAAAACTGATGCAAAAAAATTAAACACCACAAACCTTGGATAGCTCTATACCTACTAAAGAAGTGGAATCTCTAATTGAAAACCAACACACACACAGAGAGAGAGAGAGAGAAAGAGAGAGAGAAGCTCCAGACCCAGATGGCTTCACCTGAAAATTCTACATTTTAAGAAAGAACACCAGTCTTATACAAACTTCGAGAGATTTAAAAAAGAGAACAATTCTTAACTTGTCCTTAGAAGTCAGAATAAGCTGGTTTACAACAAATAGGTTACGGCAGGGCGCCTGTAATCCTAGCACTTTGGTACGCCAAGGAGGGCGGATCACCTGAAGTGAGGAGTTCAAGACCAGCCTGGCCAAAATGGTGAAACCCTGTCTCTACTAAAATAGAAAAATTAGCTGGACATGGTGGTGTGCACCTGTAATGCCAGCTACTAGGGAGGCTGAGACAGTAGAATCACTTGAACCCGGGAGGCAGAGGTTGCAGTGAGCCGAGATCGCACCACTGTACTCCAGCCTGAGCGAAAGAGCAAGACTCCATCTCAAAAAAAAAAAAAAAAACAAGTAGGTTACAAGGAAGAAAATTTTCAGGCAAATATTATTTATAAGCTAAAATTTTTTAATTAAGCAAAATATATAAATTATACTATATTATGACTCAATTGGGTTTATCCTAAGAATTCAAGATTAACTTAATGTTTCAAAATCAATCATGTATTTTACCTACATTAGCAAAAAGAGGAAGAACAAATTATATGATCTTCTCAATAGAGGCAGAAAAAAATGATAAATGTCAAGTCCATTAATGATTGAAAACACAAAAGCCACTTTAAAAACCAGAATAGAGTCTGCAAAAAAATTCACATTTAATGGAGAGATGCTGAAAAACTTCCCTCTGAAATCAGAAACTATACAAACTTACTCTCTGTCACTACTTTCACTTTTACTCAATATTGTACAGGAAGCCTTATCCAATGTAATAAGGCAAGATACGAAACAAAAACAAAAACAAAAACCTAAAAGGAATAGTATTGAAAAGAAAACATCTGTCATTATTCACAGAAAATGTAATTGCTTATGTTGAAAATACAAAAAGAATCTAAAATGAATTCCAAAAATTAATGAGTTTATAGTTACTAAATGCAAAGTCAGTATGAAAAATTCAGTATAAAAATTGCATTTCTGTATGTTAGTAATAGCTAGACAAGAAAAAAATTAAATCTGTAGTGTTCAGGGTAAACAAAATTAAACTATTAAAATAGAAAAAATAAAGTTTAAAAATTATTAGCACGTAACATAATAAAGCAGAAGTATCAGTCTAGAATTGTGAAAAGTGGTAGAGAAGAAAAGTCCAAAACAGAAAACAAATAAAAGTAGGCTACAAATCCTGTCCCTTGTAGCTAGAGATATTCTGATTAAACATGGACATTGACAGAAAGTTATAGGGTTAAGTATACATCTCAAAAATATAAGAATAAAAATGAGAAGAGTAGAAAGTGTATAGCTTTCCAACAACAAGGTGGAGGAAGAGGAAATAGGACAAAGTTTGATAGACAAAAGGTAGAGGGGAAAAAAATCACGAAATAGTTAAAATGGCAGTATATGGGATGCTATAGTACACTGTCATGGATATTTCATTCAAAGTTAGCCTCCTTTCTGGGGGCAACCTACATTCAATAACTGATCCCAGACTCCTTGCTTCAATTCAGGACAACTCCTAAGGTCCTTCCCATCTCCAGAGCTCTCTGTGAGACTGGCTGGGACCTCTAGGATTGCAGTTCAACCTTTCCTTCTGCCCAGTCTTTCCTGTACGCCCTCACAGGTACTGTTTCTGATTATTCCTCAACACCTTTTCATATGCATATGCCTGTCTTCTCTATCTTAACTAATGTTTCTCAGGGGACCTGATTTCAGAGAGTTGGTGCCAAGTGGAACAAGAAAGCGGAACTTTAAGTGTGGAATTTTGGAGCCAGATCACCCACCAGGTGGCTAACAGTTAAGATTTCATCATTGGTAGCAAATGAAGTGTGGAAGATCCTAGAATACTGTGGCAACATATTCTGATTACATTTTGTTGCTTAACAAATATATGCAAAGCTGAGTGGCTTAAAATAACTATTTTATTGTCTCTCATGATTCTGTGGGTTAATTAGGCTTAGCAGGACAGTTCTCCAGCTTCAATGATGCTGGATGAGGTTGTAGTCATTTGGAAGCTTGATTGGGCTCATTCACTTGTTTGGAAGCTGAGGCTAGCTTCAGCTTTGAGATCACCTGTAACTGGTGACCAGTGTGCCTATAAGTGGACTCTTCACAATATGGCAGCTGGGTTCCAAGAGGAACATCCCAAGAATGCGCTTTCTGAGAGAGAGGAACTAGAAAATACAAGATCGTTTAAGGATTAGGCTAACATTTTGCATGGTACAGTATCACTTACACCATATTCTATTATCAATGTAATCACAAGCATAGACCACATTCAAAGAGAGAGGAAGCAGGACATGGAGCATGTATACGGAAGGTAGGGTAAAACTGAGGCCACCTTAACAGACCAGCTAGTGCACAGTATAATTGTTAAAATTTCACTAGTGGAGAACTCAGAGGGTATAATAGTGAAGGAAAGGCACTGATGGGTGCAATATCTCAAAAGTTTGAAAAATTTGGGGAAAGTAATAATTATAGACAATGGAATCAGATGCATTTTGCTGCATGCAACCAAGGCACTAGAGAAAGAAAACAAAAGGCTGAGGGTGATTATCATGAACTACAGGCAAAGTGAGAAAGCTGGTGGGCTTCCTTGGCAGCTTTTGAAGAAACTCTCAACTGCTGCAGCTGGATAGCAGAAAGAGTGGTGGATCAGGTACAGGACTTATTTGTAAAGCTGGCCAGTTGCAAAAACACTGAATTCTCAATCTTGGAAGTGCTTCTAAACCCAGGTCAGGTCCTCTTTTGGAAGGAGTCTTGAGATGGGAACTTCTTGGTTGACACACTAAAGAAATTTGAAACCCCCAGTTTCCCTGAACCACCTGCAGAAGTGGCCCATTCCTCCCTATTAAAGGCTATTGCACCTCCCTTGATTGAAGATGCTACAGAGACCTCTGGCTTATCAGAGAGTATGCATCTTCCTCAGGATCTGTCCCACCAATCAACAAAATCAAAACTGTTTTTGGAAAGACCATTAAATTCAACATTTGGCAATTATAATGAAAAGAAAACTAGAAAAGATGTGGATAAACAACATTGTAAGTGCAAAGGAAATTTAAAATTATATTAGAGCAAGAATCATAGGAAAATATTTTTATTACCTTTATGCCAGACATTTAGAAAACTAGGTGAAATGTATCACTTCATAGAAACGTATATAATAACTAATTCAAGAAGTACAAAAGTAGGGCTAGAAGTATTATGAATAAAGAAATGAGCAGGCAACTAAAATATACTCTTTAAAAAGACCTTAGGTCCAAGTAATTTCATAGAAGAATTTTATAACACTTCAAGCAGCAGACACTTTTTATATTATATATAAAGTATTCCAGAGCAGAAAAAAATATGAAAAGCTTCGTAGTTATTCTATGAGAATAGCCAAACTCTGCCATCAACAAAGGACAAAAAATGTACAAAAAAGAGAAAGATAATTACATTTCTCCTCATGTGCATGAATATTAAAATCCTAAAGTAAATATTAACATACTAAACCCAGCAGAAAATTAAAGAACACTGTACTTCATATTCAAGTATAAGTTATCTCCGTCTCTTAGACATTTGCAAAAATCAGAGAACAATTGCTTCTCTGGGCATATATATGATAAATAAAGAGGCAGAAATTTCAGGATATGAAAAAATTTAGAAAATAGAGTGTTATTGCACTAACCACTTATTCTATACCCAATATTATATTACACAAAATTCAAAAATTGTCACCGTGGTTTCAGCCTTTGCTTATGAGATTCTGTTTCTTTTTCTTTTTTTCATTTGTCTGAACTAATATTGACTCCTTTCCTTCTCTCTTTGTGGGAGATAAACAGATCTTTGCCTAACCTCTCCTGGTACAGCCTGTATTGGCAGTAATTCTAACCAGTTATTGTTCCATTTCCTTATTCACACTGGTTAAATGGTAAAGTTCCTCTCTGTTCGTTAGTAGGAAAGGGAGAGGAACATTTTGAAATGTATACTTACAAGGAAGAGTCTAACCAAGGGTTTTTCAGAACACCTAGTTAAACATTAGAAAATAAATGTATATATCATTATAGTAGACTAAAAGAGAAAATCCATTAGATTATGTTCAATACCCTTTAATGATTCAAAAAATTAGCAAGCAGAGACCAAAGGGATATTTCTAATAAAGGATGCTTTCATGAAATCTATAGAAAATACCATAGTTGATGGCAAAAATATGAGAAATATTCTCACTAAAAACAAGAAAAGAAAGGGGTACCTGTTGTGGCTATGGCGTACTCAGTGTAATGAAGACATACGAGAAAGAAAAAAGAGGCATTGCTATGGGAAACAAAGAGGCAAAGCTAACACTTCTTTTTGCAAACAATATCAGTGAGAAAATGGATCTCATTGAAAAATATAAGGACTTAGAATATAAAACTCAAGGGATTATGTAGATATATATACATATCTAATTATATATTTACCTAGCTATATAATCTCCTCTTTCATAAGAAAGAGAAGATACCACAAAAGAGCCAAAAAATCTGAAAAAGACTATCAATGAGAGAGGACTTTTATTTAGATATAATTACATGTTACTAGGCCTATACTAATTAAACTTGAAGAGTTTAGAAATTGGAAAATGAGTCAATAAAATTGAATAGAGTATATAAGAAGATTCGTGTATATGTAAGACTTTAATTTACGATTAATTTGTTTTTTAAGTAGTGGGAAAACATTGTGTCATCATTAAATAGTAGGAATAGTAGCTATCAATATGGAAAAAATAAAGTAATGTAATATTTATGCCTCACATCTTTTGCTAAACTTCAGATGGTTTAAAACACAAAACATTAAGCAAAAATAGAAATGTGTTAGAGAAAAATACAGAATACTTTTTAAAGCTATGGGATAGCAAAGGTCTTAAGTGAAACCTCGACCCAGAAACTTAAAGTATAAATAACAATTTTCACCTAAGAAACTTAAAAACTTCTGTATAATGGGGATGGGGGAGGGGGACAGAGAAAAGATAAAATACAAGTGGCAGAGATGAATTACTGCAACACATTTAGTAGACAAGTTATTAATAACCAGAATGTATAAAGACTTCTATAAATAATTTAGGAAAAGGCAAACAACTCAATGCTAAAATGAGTAAAGGATGCCAGATGGTAATTCTCAAAACGAGAAACAAAACGGCCAATAAACATGTAAAAGATATTCATTCTCACTGGCAATCGTTTGTGTGTGTGTGTGTTTTTGTGTGTGTGTGTATTTGGTTGTTCAGTTATCAGATGGCATACATTGTCAAATTTGGGACGGATATAGGGAAACCAACACGTTCATATACAGCAGATAAGAGTCTTTTTTGGTGAAGTAAGGAAATTAGGAAGAATATATTCTAAATCTTAAATTTCCTTGGCCCAACAATTCTGGCTCTAGCAATATATTCTCAAGCAATACATTCATGAGTGCCCAGTGATGTCCATTCAAGGCCATTCATAACTTCATTGTATTAGTACAAGACTGGAAACACTAAAATTTCCATCACTAGGGGAAAGTTGCGAAAGGAATATGATATATGGCATATATAACCAACCTATATTACATGAATAATTTTCCAATCATATTTTTGTAAGTTCAAGTAGTAGAATACGATCCCCTTGTGTTAAAAAGTCAGTAAAGGTATATGTAAATACATGTAATTGCACGGGAAGCGACAAAAGTATGCACACCAGATGCTTAACAGTGGTACCATCTGGGAGAGGAAACCAGGAAAGGCATACTGCAGGGGTCATTTCAGGGTTTGCTCTCAATATTTCTGTATTTTAAAAATCTTCTACCGAGAGAATATGTTCATGCATTAGCAAGGTAAATCAAAAGATAAAACAGTTACAGCAGTGAGGTAGCAAAAAAAAATTCATTTTTGGTCCCTAACAATATCTGTCTATGATGGACAAACTGGACTCCAGTTTGGCCATTCCGTTGATTTTGGCCATTTAGTAATCATGCTTTGAGATACAGCCAAATTTTTAATAGATGCAAAGGAAAAGAAGCAGCATATTTCTCAAAGCAAATTATTCATCACAACAATCATGTGAAAAGCCTTCTCTTTTGCTACATATTTACCTACCTTCCATATTTTTCTCCAACCGGAATTGAGAATTTTCCTTCCTGAAACCTCTAGTTGCTAAGCAACATTTTCTTCTCTATGGAGCATGGTTGCTGTACTATACCAGCTTCCATCTCTTCCTCAACTTCATCTTTCTCTTCTTTTTCTTCTAATCATCTTCTCTCGTACACATAAACACACACATAGAATGTTCTAGAGCTTGTCTATGTACATGTTTATTCATTTATTTGTTCTGTAAGAAAGTGTCTTGTCTTTTTTATTGTTGTAAACTCATAACTAAAAGAATGAAGAGAGGCTTCCTTTTTCCAATTCTAAGATGATAATAACTTCAGAGATGGCTTTCCAAAAACTCAGAAGAGGATTGGTCTGAAGGTTAGAGTTTGGGAACAAAGTCCTAGGTCTTACACATTGCTTTAGGATGATGGTTCTCAGATGGCAAAGACCTGTTATAATTCATTCAGTAAATAGTTATTAAGCTACTACTATGTTACAATATTCTGGATTTTGAGAATGCAATAGTTGATGAAAACAGTTGCCACACTCAAGAAGATTACTTTAAAGCTTTGTATAAAATGAAGGCCTATATCTGCTTCCAGCTTATTCAAACTCTGTCCTAGCTTCCAACTACATTTTGCCCTGGACAATGGCTGGACAAAGAGGCAGGGTATGTAGTGAGTGTGTGCAAAGCCTCTGCCCTTCCTGGGTGTTGAAGGAGTGAAGGGATGCAGGATGTTTTCCTTTTCTGACCAACAGAGCTTGAAGACTGGCGGTGAACAGGCCTCAGGCAAGGAGCTGAGCCCTGAAATTTTGGCCCCTGGAGAACCTTGGTCCCTCTGGAGGAGCTGCTGGTTTCCCTGGCCCTGGAATGCCTATTGGGTATTCACACATGTGGCATGCCCTCATATTGTTTGAGAACCATTGTTATGAACAAAGCCTGCTCTGCTGGGATTTGTATGTTCTGGCTCCATTACTTTGTCACAATGGAAGCTTGGGCAAGTTTCTTAACTCCTCTTTTGTAAAATGAAGATAGTAGTATCTAGATCAAAGAGTTATTATAATTAAAAGTTTTGATTTTTATAAATTGTTTAGAACAGGACCTGGAGCATAATATGCCAAAAAGAAGACTGACTTCCTATTCCATCAGCCAGACTCTACCAGTTGAAACTGGGGAGGAGAGAGCCTTGTCTGGGAGAAAGCCATGCTTATCTATCACTGACTCGCAAGAGCACATCATGCCACCTTTTTAAAATTATGTTCATAGCACCCACGTAGGTCAACCTGAGTGCTAAAGATGGTAAAAGCCAGTTCCCTAAGGGATCAATCATTAGGGTCCCAGAACAAGCAACGCTTGTAGCTCCTAGGAAAAAGGTAGCTTCTAGTAATAGAGAACTGCTGATAGAGAGAGGCCACACATTTAACATCATCAACAACAACAAAATAATAACAGCACTTAAGGGCGTTTAATCACTGCACTAAAATATACTTCCTGGAAATAAAAAGCTGTTTTTTAAAATTTTTTCAAGTTCAGTGTAATAGAATGAGCACTGTGTTGAATTAAATTATTGTCATGGAAAATCAAAATGTAGAAATCTTTCAAAACATGGAGCAAAAAATAAAAAGCAATAGAAATCCTCAGGGAAGGGAAAAGTGATTTGGAAAAAGTATCTAGAAATCAAAATATGTAAATTATAGTAGATCCATAAGAGAGAGAGAAACAAGAGAAAAGAGGCAATAATTAAATACTAGAGAAAAATTCTCTAGCTTCAAGACAGATTTGATTCTGCAAATTGAAAGTTCTCACTAACTTTGAGCAGGAGTGACTGGTAAAACATGTCCAAGATAAAGAAAAAAATTAACAACATAAGTTTCAAAACAGAAAGAATCAGTTACAAAAGAAAAATGAAACAGACTGACATCAGATTTTTTATCTGTGATCCTTGAAGCTGGATGACATTTAAATAACTCCACAGGCTAGTGAGAGAAAAGATCTGTGACCCAATGAGCAAGAAATCACAGATGGTATCCACACACATCTCTTCCAATGAGAATACTTAAAAAAACAAAAAACAAAAAAACCACTTTAGCCAAAGAAATGAATCAGAACAGAAATCATAATGTAAGGAAAGGTGAGGAAGAAAGAAAATGATGGTTAGAAATGAACTTTGCAATATATATCTCTCTATATAATGAGAGAATGACTTGAAATAATAAAGGGCTTTGAAATAAAATGGAACTCTAAAATAATACAGATTAATAGTTTATAATTAAAGCACAAAATATTTCCCTGTAACCTTTGGGTTGAGAATGAGGAAGAAGGAGGAGAAGTAAAAGAATTCTAATCATTGTTTGGAGAGAGTAGGGAATTTGGGCATTCATCTCATTCATCTTTTGAGGGGCTGCCAGGGATTAGAGGTGCTTTGGTCAGTGGGGAGTGTTTCCATTAGGGTTACCTTCAGCTACACAAAACAAGAAATCTGACTAAAAAGGGGCTTGTGTTTCTCACATAACAGGAGTCTGGAAGCAGGCCATCCAGTGCAGTTCCACGGTGCTAAGAGGGGCCTAATCTCCTGCATTCCCACTCAGTCCTCTTTCTTGTTGCTTTTGTCATCATCACCTGGCTGCACTCCCTTTAGGCATGATATCTGTATTTTAGGCAAAAAGGAGAGGAAGAGCAAAAGGCAAAAATACATTGCCAGCTGAGTCTAGAGTTGTTTTCCCTAGAGCCGTACCCAATAAATTTCTGCTTCCATATCATTAGCCAGGGAGTGGTCCATGGGCCACTTCTAATCAAAAGAAAGCAAGGGCAATCAAGTTGGCAACACCTCCTGCCTCCTGAAATATCTGCATTCTGATTAATAGAGAAAAAAAGGAGAATCAGTTAGGTAACTAGCAGTGTCCACAACTGGAACAGTTAATAAGTTGCTTTTATATCACAAGTGAGAATTTGTACTTGAAATGAGATGGTAACCCCCAGTGTAATGGATAAAGTTCAATAAAGTTAAATTTCCAAATTATCAAGTGTAAACAAGAGAAGAAGAGTGGTTTGATCATACCAAGAGAAACAAGTAAAAGTAAGGAAGGAAACAATAAAATAAATAGTAAACTTTAGTAATATGGCAGAAAATATATAACTTCTTACTTTAAATATGAATGAACCAAATTGCTCAATTTTGTTTAAAAAACAAAACCCAACTATATGTTATTTGTAAGAAATATCGCTAATGTGATAAACTAAAAAAGACATTAAAAAGGCAGAGACCTTACCAGGAAAATGTAACAAGAAAGAATCAGAGGGAAATAGATACATTGAACAAGATAAAATTGTAAAATGCAATCACTGCTCAGACAAAATGAGCCATTGTATAAAAGAAAAGACACAATTTTTGAAGAAGGTATAATAAGCAGATACATGTATGCATCAGATAACACGATGACCGAAAACACTATGTGATAACTATTATAACTATAAAAATAACAAAAAATTTAGAGGGAAATTTTAATATGCCACTTTAATAATTAATTCACTCTAGTAGAAAAGAAGCTTATTTTCTAATAGAGTTGTTGGGAATGAGGGAATGAACAGGCAAGTAGACAGGCAATTATAATATGGGAAATAATTGCTATGATAGAAATTAATACAGGCTGTCCTGAACCCAGTTTCTTTTCTAGTAGATGGCACAGTCACAAAGTAGGTTAGACAACAATGGTTTCTACCTTGTAGGAGTTCATAATTATGGCAGATATTTCCATTATGGGAAACACTTTAAGGTGAAGTTTTCTGTCTATAAAGTTTTTCCTCATGTAAGAAAATACCTTCACCAATACCGAGTACCAAAGTAATCTGCAATAACATGTATGACTTTACTAAATAGGAAAACATTTTGAAAAAGATAGCATACTTTCTCTTTTAGATCATTGATATCATTCATTAGAAATTTTTAATGAAGTTTAATGAAGTAAATGTCTGGGGAAAACGCTCAGCTAATTAATCATTTTTTTCTCATTATATGAGTGTATAAAACAGGTGTTCACAGGTTCTTTAAAACAATCACTGTTCCAAGATGTGGGTGCTGATGAAAGTTACCTTTGCTGCTGTAATGATCTGCTTGGCTGACAGGTTTCTAGGGGCTCCCAAGATCGACTTCATTACTCGAGTTACTCACTGTTACCTTCATTTTTCAAGATTTGACAATTTCCCTACCATGCTCCCTTCCTCCTCCAAATTTGTTCACTTTAAGGTTTTATTTCCTGAGCTTATTCTGATGTAGTTATTGTTGTAGTTCTCAACTGTGATTCAAATACGTGATAGTTACTAGAGCAGTTGTTCATATTGAGACCTTTAATTTTACAGAAAACAGAACTGAGAATTACACAATACAATGTTTTGTGAAAGATTGCCTTTGTAAAATGCCAACATAGAATGATGCTTATGAAATAGATACACAAAATTACTTTAAAAACATGTGAATACAGCAATTAGAGGCAAACTCTTTTTAAAATATGTGTTCGATTACATGGGAATATAATTGCTTCTCTGAATTACAAATTTTGTGGTTTTTTTCCTCCTGATTGCCTCACTTCTAGTAGCTTCAGTGAACGCTGAGCATTAAAAATCACTTAGCCATTTTTCAGATCATTGCTAAAAGTTCTCATTCTTTGAGTCTGACGCTAACAAGCTGATAATTAAGATAAACAGTGATTTTCAGTGAAGTTTTTACCATGTCCTAGGGAGAATTCTGTAGATCTGCAGGGCCGTTTTGGGTCATCACAGTGACTGGGGACTGCTAATTACACTTATTTATTTATTTTTAGCAGCTTTACAGAGGTATAATTAATATACTAAGAACTGCATATGTCTTATGTATACAATTTGATGAGTTTGGATATCTGCAAACACCCATAATACCATCAACACAATCAAGGTAGTAGATACATCTCATAGCTCTCAAAAGCTTTCCTTGTATTCCTTTGTTTTTATTTTTGGTTTACGTTTTGTGATAAGAACACTTAACATGAGATCTACCCTCTTAACAACTTTTGAAGTGCACAATACCACAGTGTGAACTGTAGGCACTATGTTGTACAGCAGATCTCCAGAACTTACTTAGCTAGTGTAACTGAAACTTTATACCCATTGAACAACTCTCCACTTCCCCAACCCCCAGATCTGGCAACCACTGCTGTATTCTCTGCTTCATGAGTTTAATGATTATGGATACCTCATAAAAATGAATGAAATCATGAAGTATTTGAGATACCTATAGCTGTCAAACTCATAAAAGCAGAGAAAACAACAGTGGTTGCTACTTTCATTTAGTGGACAGAGTGAGAAATGTTAGGGGTCCTGCAATGCAAGGAACAGTTGTGCACGTTGAAGAATTGTCTCACATAAACACAACTTTCCAACACCTTGACAGATGTTTATGCAATTGAAAGAATGGTTTATAATTAGCTGAGTTTAAAACACTTGACATATAAACACACAAAATCTTTAAAATATAACCACAAAATATTTCTCATGGTTTGAATACTTTTCAAAAACACAACTGAAATATTGACCATTATTTTAGGAAATCGCATTATGGAGAGCAACACTGCTAGTGGATTTTGAGTTGCCCATACACTACACTACTATTGGCCTGCCTTCTAATGCTTAGTTCATGTGCAAATATGTAACAGAAGACATTGAGACTCCTTCTGACAGACTTAGAACAAATATTTTTAAATTAGCAGGGGCAAATATCATTTAGAAATTTTACTGAATCTATTTTAAAAGTTTTATTTAATTTTCATTTTATTGACCTCCTATGTAATTATAAATTATAGCTCAGAATAAATCTAGGTTAGAAAATTATATCTTAAAACTATTTCTTTTGGAGTTACCTGTTACTCTTACTATTTTCCTGTGCCCAGAATCAACCACACAACCTCTCTATGGCCCTTGATGTTTCTGTTTGTTTCAGTCCATCCTCTATCCCCTGTTTCTCAGTGTCAGAGACAGAGGTAATCGTCTATAATTATCTGTTGTTATCCCCATATCATTTGAGGTAGGCTCACTTTTATTGAACACAAATAAGTCCTGTTATTATATATCCCAATGCTGGTTTTTATTTTTATGTCTTCTGTACCTCTGCTGTATGATTCTTCTGTGTTCTTGTACTGAAAGTGTCAGATTAATTTATCTTAATCCATATTTGTTCATTTTGAAAAAGTGCATATATCTAGCTTGCTCAGTATGTTTTCTGTTGTAATCTTATTTAATATTTACATATCTATATATAATTTTATGAACTATTTTCTATTTTTAATAAAGTTAGGGCATTATATTGATTTTAAAGGTATGTCATTTTCAGGTTTTAATATTCCTAAATTTAATCAAAGAACAGTGAATGGGGTGTCTAGTTTGATAGAGTTAAGAGCCACAGATCTGTTATTTCACAAAGATTCAGTGAATATGGGTATGATTGTGATTGTGGTTATGATTGTGGTAAATAACCATGGCAATGGTTATGATTACCTCAGGGTTATATACCAAAGTTAAACCAGAATGTCAGCTAAGTACTAATCCACAACCCTTTGGCAAAAAAAAAAAAAAAAGGTGAATTTACTTTTTTGTTTTTCCTTTTCTATTCTCTTTTTTCAACCATCCCTGCCAACATATTTTCTCCCTTTTTTCTTCTAAAATGTTCACACTTTCCAATTTCATCTCATGCCTTTATTCAAGTGCTATTCACCCTTCCTGGAATGCCCTTCCCCCATAGTCTGTGTTTCAGGGTCAAGTCAAACACTGCAACAGTGAGTATTCCCTCATTGTCTTTATTAAAGGTAATTTTTTCAGAATCTGAATTTCCTTAGCACTATTTCAAAGCAAATATATTTCTCTTCATACTAACTTTCTTCTTTGTATTATTTCTATTTATACACGACTTACTTTGTCATAGGAATTCATAAGCTCCTTGAAGCCAGAATGTTTGCTTTTGTTTATTATCCCCCTACTATGTGCTTTGCCTGACCAAATGAATGAATAATCTATAATCCACCAGAAGCCTTTATTCCTGGAAATTTTGGACAGTAAATAATTGTTATTTTCAATATGACTATTTCAATATTTTCCATAACTATTGTTATTTTCAATAAGACTATTACTTAGTCTTAAAAGCAATTGGGCTTATACAATATCTGCAATGTAAAAGATTTCGGTGAAATTGCGAAGAAAAAAATATTAGTGTTTCATGTACAAATGTTTAGGTCCCTAATAACATTTCTACTGAAACTTAGCTATGGTTCACATTTCTGAAGACTGTTTCCAGTGACAAAAGAGGAATGGCCCTATTAATATCACTGTGGTAGGATCACATGGTCTAGCAGAGAGAATGGATATTTCACAAAGGAAGATGCTATTTGGATTAATGGGTAGGTGGAAACATTTAGTCTAGTTCTTTCTTTAGCAGTATGCTGTAACAAATTGTACTGGAATGCAGAGGCATCTATTAGAGCAAATTCTCTTTGCAGAATGTCAATGATTTTGTGTACTTCTAATTCCTCTCTGTCTTGAACTTCTGAGCCTCATAAAATAAAAATTACTTATTAGGAAAAAAAAAGACAATTGAAACCAGACCCTGAGGTTGTACCTCGTAAGGTTATAGGGGACTAGCTTTGGGAGAGTATAACCCGAGATACAGCACGTGGGGATCTCCAGGGGCAGCCCTGCAGTGATAGCCAGGGATCTTGCAAAACCCACGCTGAAGAACAGCAACACAGGTTCTGTAAGGTGAAGCATAATCAGTGCTACAATTAAGAGGATTTTCCAAAAACTTTTAATGGAGAACATGTATAGCTTGCCAAAAAGGATGAAAAACAAGCAGTAACACTCAGTAATCAGGTTTTTATGCCTTAGTAGATATTCACACTAAAAAAAATTTTACTCATTTCATGTTTTCACTTTTTATTACATCTATATTTTTTCAAATGTACATTTCTCTCCCAATCCCAGTGATTAGGATGCAATTCAATTTTTTTTCTATTTTGGATAGCTTACTGCTGTCACATGAATAAACTTGTAAAATGTGCGCACCTTTTCTTTGCCTTATAAAAAAAATTAATCTATCGGTTAGGGTCCAGTCATGAAAACAGAAACCGTAGTTATTTTAACAGAGTAAATTTCATTTAAGGAATTGGTTAAGGAATTATTGGAGAATGCAAAGGGAAACACTGAAGTAACAGATACAGAAATTCTAAGAGTCAGCTGCTATCTTTAGGGCTGGAAGAACGAAGGGAAAGCTTAAGGTTATTGAAACTGACTAGCTGGTTCTGGTATCTCAGGAGTGTGGAAGAGGGATCCTGCATAGCTGAGACTCAGAAGTCTCAGGAAGGCCACTGAGGGGGCACTTGCAAGCTGGTGCTGCTATTTCTAAGGAGGCAAATGAGCCTGGCTCTGGGAGTGTAAGAAATAAACTGCTGCTGCCAAGGTGAAGAATTGCTGTGGTGACACTGCAGGAGCAGGACACAAAACTGGAAGGAGAGAATCTTTTCTGCCTCTGGTTTTGCATTCTGCCTCCGGAGCCCCAGTTTGGCAGGAAGCCAGGTGGTGAAGAAACACAGAGTCCAGAGTTCCAGTTCCAGGATCATAGAGAAGAGTGGGCTTGAAGCTAAGAAATAAAAACTAATAAACAGAAAGTATCAGGAACTACTCGTTTACGTCTTAATGGATATGCATACTACACAATTTTAACTAATATTTTAAGTCTTCATTATTTCTATATTATACCAAATGCAATTCCTTCAAAAGGGAAAAAATTGTTATAATAATTATAACAATTATATAATTATTAAAATAATTGTAACAATCATATAATTATTAAAATAATTATAACAAGTATTATATAATTACATATAATAATCCTAATTGTTACTATATTTGCAGTTGAACTTTTTGTTAATATCACATTAATCAGTTTCTAAAAAGTGATTTTTTCTTGCCTTAAAACAAATAATGGATTACTTATGTCATAATTTTATTCAAGTTGCCAATGATACACTAAACTATTTAATGCCTTTGCTTATGACACAGTGTAAGAATTCATTGATGAAATTACAGCCTTATAATCAGTCTTTGCTTATCAATTAATCTCCAAGGTTTTCTCCAAATGTGATTTTTTTCAAATATTAGTACTACTTATGAAAAGAATATTATAAAATTATAGTATGAAATAACATAATTTTGATCGAATTAGAAAACAGTCTTTATAAATGTAAATATAGAAGTGTTTGATTTCCAACTTTGGCTCTAAAATATATGCATATATGTTTTTCTGTCAAGCTACATACTTGGAATAAATAATGTCAGTATTTTTGTAATACCTGCCTTGTGCCAGATACTGTCATGCTCATTACAGAGAAAATCCTCATTACAAATTTTTGAGTCAGGTATTATTATAATGAATGGGACTGAGGATGTAAAAGCATGAGTAATTTCCACTAAAATCACATGGCTAATTAATCGGATACCAATAATTAAGCTTTGTTATACTGCCATTAACATCAACTACGTTGTCATTGATATTACTTGCTTAATCTTACCATTGGTAAGATTCAAACTTGATTTCTTTCCCTAAAATATTATAATTTTTTCAGAAAGAATATAACCTACAATCTTCACAATTCTCTCTTCACACAGAATTATGTCCTTAGCAGTGGTTTATGATGCATACTACTAGGAGAGTATAAATTATGATCATAGTCTAATCCAATGATGGAATAATAAAGTCTCAGAGTTGGAAAGGACCCCAGTAACTAACCCTCAATCTAATTAACAAATCTCTTCTTATAATACCCTAACACTTTTTGAGCCCTTGCTCTTCCTAGGCACAATGCTATGTGGTTTACAGGCACCATCTCATTTAATTCTCATCACAAGACAACCGGTAAATCAGTATATGAAGGTTGCCAGATACAACACCAATGTACAAGATTTAATTCTATTTCTAAATATCGGCAACAAAAATGAAAAACAAAATAGCACCATTTACGATATTATCAAAATTCAGCAAACATCTAGGAATACATTTATTAGATAGTAGGAAGAATTTCTATGCTCAAAACTATAAAATATAATCCTAGCACTTTGGGAGGCTGAGGCAGGAGGATCACTTGAGTCCAGGATTTCAAGACCAGCCTGGACAACATGGCAAGGCCTCATCTCTACAAAAATAATTTTAAAAAATTAGCTGGGCATGGTGGTATGCACCTGTGGTCCCAGCTACTTGGGAAGCTGAGGTAGAAGATTTCTTGAACCCAGGAGGTCAAGGCTGCAGTCAGCCATATTCACAGCCTGGGCAACAGAGCAAGACCCTGTCTCAAAAAGAAAAAAGAAATGCATGACAAGAGTAATAAACCATGCATATGGATTGGAAAACTCCATGGTGAAAAGATGTTGATGTCAATTCTTCTTAAATTAGTATATACATTTAGTTCTGTCCCAGTCAAAATATTAGGAAGTATTTTATTTATTTATTTTCAAAAAAAAAAAAACCTGACAAGCTGGTTTCAAAATTCACATAGAGGTACAAAGAGCTAAATACAGTCACAGCAATTTTAAAGAATGAAACTAGAGATATTACAAAACCAGATATTAATATCTATTAAAAGGTATATTACTTAAGACAAAAGTAGTATTGGCACACAGATTAGCAAATTGACCAGTGGAATATAATGGACATTGCAAAAAATCATACTTACTCTCTGGCAAAGATGACACTGAAGTGTTTTCCATAAAAATAATTTAGTCAATTGGATATTCATATTAAAAGTGATATATCTTGACCTGTACCTCACACCATACACAGGAATCACTTTCAGATGAATTGCAAATTTAAAAGTAAAAGGTAACAAAAGAAAGCCTGTAGACAAAAACATGGAAGAATATCTTCAAGTCTGTGAAGTAAGCAAATATTTATTAAACTGGGACAAAAAGTCAAAGGAAGAAATAGATACATTGGATTATATTAAAAATATATCACGTTTGTGCATACTACAAAAAAACAGGTCATAGATTGGGGATGACTCATATCTGGTAATATATACAACTCCTACCAACCAGTAAGAAAAATGCAGCCAGCCGAAGAGAAATATAGATAAAAGACAAACAGATACTTTCTGAAAGAGGATATTCAAATAATCAATAAACATATAAAATGGGCTCCACTTCAGTAACAATCAGGGTAATGCAAATTTAAATTTAAACCATAATGCAACACCACTATACATCCACCAAATTGGCTAAAATGAAAAAGAGAGAAAATAGCAAATTTCAATGAGGATGTGAAAGCACATCCTCAGAAGATTGTAAAGAAACGATTAGACTTAAAATATTTTGTTTTGTATTGATAGGAGGTAGGTAGAATTATTGATTAATTTGAAACTTAAAAAAACAAATATATTACAAATATATATCTGAAATATTAAAATATTAAAAGAATAAAAATAGAATACACAACATTCACATCTCTAGAGGAGGAAAAAGTAAAATAATGAAAACTAAATTATGCTAATATGAGGCAATTAATAAAAAGAAAAGCCATGGTAAATAGAAAACATAAGCTAAAAGATGTAAGTATTAATAAATCTGAACTTCCAATAAAATTGCATAGTCTTTTTTCGTTTTCCCAGAAAAAATAAGGTAATATTTGGCATCTGCCTTTCAAAAATAGGAAATGATGTTAGGAAACTAATCTTGTAAGCCAGGCTGCTGCCTTAAGGAAAAATCTTCTTACTCCTTTCTCCTTTAGTATTGTTAATGGATGAGATGCAAGTTTCGAAAATCCCATGCCTTTTTACTTCCTGAGGAGAGAAAAAGAAGGAAAAGATAAAGGGAGGAAAGAGAGTGGTTTTAGCAGGTCTCTGTTCTATCTAGTATTGCCTCTGGGAGGGGGAAGGAGCATGAAAGAAGTGGGGTCAGAGGAATGATCTCACCTACTTGGTGGGTTGATGGCTTCAGCAAAAAGCCAACTAGCAGATTCTGGCTGGATTGTCTTGGAGGTGCAGGAGGAAGGCAAGAGTAGTAAAAGTTTAAAGTGAGATTTAAAGTATATATTTTCCAGATATCTATTTTAACATTTAAACTATTGCTTATAGTCTTAAATAATAATATTAATTTTAATTTTTTTCTTTTACATCCTGATTCCTTTGCTCAGCTCTATAGAAGTAAAAATGTAAGTTACTTATTTTAAAATATCTGTTCCCCAGTTTTTAAAATGTTTTACAATTTGCTTTTAAGTAAATTCAACAAAAATCTTTCATAGAGGATCACTATGTTGGTCTATATTCTAGCCTGCCCTCTTCTACATACTCTGCTCCAGATCATAGTATAAATAAAAGTTCATGCAATGAAATTAAATCCCAGGAAAAAAAAAGGGAAAGAGGATGCCATCAAACATTTTTATTATGTCTCTTAATTCTGGTACTTTTTTGTATTGGTAGGAGGTGGGTAAGATTATTGGAATGATAATTGACACCATCTCATAAGAACTGTGACATCATTCCCATAATTTATGTAAGTCAAATATATCAAAAGCCTATTCAAATGAACAAAAACTATAAAATAAATGAGAAAAGCACTTTAGAATGCTCTTCCTCTCTGTCAAATGAAAGAATAAATACTGTATTTAGATCTAATGAATTTATAGTTGAACATTATTCATTTTCATTAATACCTATTATTTGTTGTTATTAGGAAGGCTAAATTTTCCTATAATTAATAAATGACAGTAAGTTTTATTTTATATGGATTTTTTTTATCTCTTCAATAAGGAGGCCATTTTGTTTTGGTTTGACAAATATATATCTTTTTATAAGTAACATCCTTCTCATGAAGTAGACTTGACAAATTTTTTGTGTGTCATCTCATTGTATTTTATTCATGATAAAATAACATTTCATAAAAATATAGGAAAACTAAAATCACCTATAATTCAACTATCTAAATATAATTATGCTTAGTTTGTTTAACAGTCTTTTACATATACATAAAATTTTTTAATAAAAGTGAGATTTTCTTGCACATTTGAAACCTCACTTTTTTAACCTCATACCTTTTGAATATCTCCTCATCAATAAATAAAAATATATCACCTTTTTGGCTCTCTGACCAGCACCATGGCAGTTGGCAAGAACAAGTGCCTTACGAAAGGCGGCAAAAAGGGAGCCAAGAAGAAAGTGGTTGATCAATTTTCTAAGAAAGATTGGTATGATGTGAAAGCATCTGCTATGTTCAGTATAAGAAATATTGGAAAGACGCTCGTCACCAGGACCCAAGGAACCAAAATTGCATCTGATGGTCTCAAGGGTCGTGTGTTTGAAGTGAGTCTTGCTGATTTGCAGAATGATGAAGTTGCATTTAGAAAATTCAAGCTGATTACTGAAGATGTTCAGGGCAAAAACTGCCTGAGCAACTTCCATGGCATGGATCTTACCCGTGATAAAATGTGTTCCATGGTCAAAAAATGGCAGACAATGATTGAAGCTCATGTTGATGTCAGGACTACCGATGGTTACTTGCTTCATCTGTTCTGTGTTGGTTTTACTAAAAAACGCAACAATCAGATACGGAAGACCTCTTATGCTCAGCACCAACAGGTCCGCCAAATCCGGAAGAAGATGATGGAAATCATGACCCCAGAGGTGCAGACAAATGACTTGAAAGACCCAGAGGTGCAGACAAATTACAGTGGTCAATAAATTGATTCCAGACAGCATTGGAAAAGACATAGAAAAGGCTTGCCAACCTATTTATCCTCTCCATGATGTCTTCGTTAGAAAAGTAAAAATGCTGAAGAAGCCCAAGTTTGAATTGGGAAAGCTCATGGAGCTTCATGGTGAAGGCAGTAGTTCTGGAAGAGCCACTGGGGATGAGACAAGTGCTAAAGTTGAACGAGCTGATGGATATGAACCACCAGTCCAAGAATCTGTTTAAAGTTCAGACTTCAAATAGTGGCAAATAAAAAGTGCTATTTGAAAAAAAATATATATATATATGTGTATACATATCTTGCTCTACAATTAGATATTCCATAATTTTTCTCTTAGGATAAATTGTTAACACTGTGTACTCAGCTAGGTGTTATTTTGGTATATTTTGATTTTCATATATTTTATAGTTTTTGTTCATTTGAATAGGCTTTTGACATGTTTGACATATAAATTATGAGAATGATATCACAGGTTCTTATGAGATGGTCTGAATTATCATTCTAAAAATTTACAGAGGTATTTTCAGCCAATGAATGCTGAAACCCTGGAGTATCACAAACAAACTTGTCTACAGGGCCATGCAGGTAACATAAGTGTGTAAATGAAGCTTAAATAAGATAGAGATAGAGAAGATGTGATGACGAGAAGAAAACAAGTACAGCCTAAGGCATTCCTGTTCAATTTTTCAAGAGATATTTTCAGCCAAGTAAATCAAGGTTATGGGTGTTATTTATCTATTTATGGGCACCAGTATGCAACCTCCACTCTCCTCTGTGGTCATCATTGTGCAAGATGCTGGCGGGGGGATACTGGACAGCCTAAGATCACTGTCCTCAAGAATTTACCTTGGGTAGTAAGATGAACAGTCATGAATCACTGACAGCAATACAAAACAGTATATAATTATCTACTAGGGTATTCAGTATTGACCACAAATGTTGTAGGTGTTTCGAAAAAGGCATGAGAATAAATGCTGGGAAAATTGAGAACGTTTATGAGAGAGATGGCCATTGAACTTAAGAATATGAAGAGGGGGTAGAATTAGGCTATTCATAGCGATGTGGAGAATAATGGGAAGCCAGAAAGGGAACCCAGATTGAAGACATTAAAATGAGAATGAGCCTACTGTGTTTTGTATGGGACAGTAGAGACTGGCCTCACAGAGAAAAGTAAACATTTAGGAGAATGGTACAAATTAGGTTTGGATAGGCAGAACAGGTTCAGGTTAGTGAGGTCTTTGGAAAATACACTGTTAGATTCCAGACAGCAGGAAAAACATAAAAACTGTAAAAGCAAAAGAACATTGAGGGCAAAAAGTCTGACACAAAGGAAACAGCTTAATAAGAAAAGTACTCAGGAAGATTAATAAAAATGCGCCAGTAAATACTTTCCTTAGATAACTATGCCATTTATTTATCCATTCACTGACTTCTGCATTCAATAAACATTTGGTCAGCATGTATGTATGCCCCAAAGGCTAAACTAGGTTCTGGAGTTACAATCCTAAAACAAGCAAACAAACAAACAAAACAAAAATCCATGCAATTGGGTTATACAGAATGTAGTGAGAAGACCTTCAAATATCTACGAGTATTCTTCTTAAAGAGCTTTCAAAACAAGCTAAAATCATGCTGTGAGATTTCCTACTCAAAGAACATTTAATATAGTTTTGGATGTGCTAGCTGACCTAATTAGCCACCAGAAAGACAAGGTATAAACAATGGAAAGAAGAAAGCAAAAATATTATTTCTGGATAATAACATTGTACTTCAAGAAACCATAATAAGAGAGTGTAATCCTCTAAGTGGATATGAAACTAACACTGAAAAAGCAGTCGCCTTTTGGTTTTGGACTTACATATGTAAGCAACAGTCCGTTATAGAATATAATGGATGAAAAAATTGCAGTTACCACTAAAGAATGAACTTTAGAAGTGTATACAATCTATAGGAAGAAAACCATAAAGCTTACTGAAAAATTAAGAGAAAACTTTTGTAAGTGGAAATACCTACGTGTTTTTGGTTAAGAAGACTAAAAATTATAAGGACTTCTATATTAGCTTGTAAATTTAGCATGTTCACAACTAAATTACTTCACCTCTCTGTGGCTCACCTATAATATAAGGGTAATAATAAAACCTACCTTATGGAGTTGTTATGAAAATGAGTTAAGACTTAGTGTGTGGTAAGCACTATACAAGTGATAAATGGATAGATAGATAGATAGATAGATAGATAGATAGATAGATAGAATGTCAATGGATTTTTTTATGGTAGGGGTTGGGGGAGACAATATTCTTTGTTTACATGAAAAAATAAAGTTGTACTAAATAACTCAAAAAATTCTCAAAAATAAGCTAAAATATAAATTAAAAAATTGATGCTAGCATAGATTGAGTAAACAGAATGCAGAATCCAGAAACAGACTCAAATGTCTATGGGAATTTATTATATGATAAATATGGCCCTTCAAATCAGCAGGGAAATATGAATTACTTAGCAGATGAGATTAGAGCAAGAAAACGACTATCAGTAATGAATTAAGTTGTGACCAGCTGACTCAAGCTTATTGAGTATGTACAGCTAAGTTTGGATATATAACAGTAGCCACTGAAAACCCTTGAGGAGATGGACAAAGTCAGGTATTCCTTTGGTTAGAAAGCAAGCAAATTTCCACATATAAACACTGATTAAACAATCAACAGCAAACAGCACAAAACAATCCATGACCTGCTCTGTAAACTTGATGAAGTCCAGTTGACTAAAGTTTGAGGTGCTCTAACCACTAACTTCCTTAAAAGATGCACATGAGGTAGACCTGACAACATTCATGAGAAAAGATTTTGTTACTCATATAATCAACAGCATCATATAATCAGCATCAACCAATCTTTTAAACCAATGGCTGGATCCGGAACTGTTTCAAGATTCAAGGCTCTAGCTCCATCCCTAAAGGTGCAAAGTATGGCCTCAATGTATTCTTAAATCCTGTTCATGCATGAGTAGAGAGTGACTCGAAATTTTTTTGACCTATCTATGTATCTTAAAGACCTTTAATTTCATCAATAAGATTGTATTTCTAATTTTCATCAAGCTAGTGAGCAGGTAACAATTTTCAATAGAATTTTTATCAATAGAAAACAATTTCTGATGTCCAATATACTAATTAGAAAAGCATGGCTTGATGGAGATTGGGATAACAGAAGAGCCTGTGGTTGCTCCTCAGGAGTACTTGTTTTCTGATGTAACACTAGCTCATCTGCAATATAGCATAAGCTAAGTAACACACATGGTATCATACTATATGTGCAAAAAAAAAAAACTTCAAAGTAAATTATAGATATAGTGACAGTTGAACTCATACTTCGCTTTTTAGAGCCAAATACATCCCAGGTAAAGCATTTTTTGTGTAACGTGGATTTTAAAAGGTAGTTGAGGTTACTAAAGATTGCTAAAAGAAAATAAGAGAAACATTTTGAACTCTTATTCTCTCTCTGAACAATCAAACAGAAACCAGAAGCAATTAAAATAAGATATATTTGGCTTCCTAAAAACAAAAATTTTAACATAAATTGGTTCAAACAATAACTAAAAATTAGGAAAAAATAGTTGCAGCACAAAAGATAATAAGAACTAATGTCATTAATATAATAAACTTGTACCAATCAACCGTCCAATAGAGAAGTAGGCAAAGAATATAAAAAGTCAAATCGAAATGGCACTTATAATAATGAAAGAATGCTGGACCTTATTTATAATAGATAAATGCAAAATAAAACTAAAAGAGTCCAGATTTTTCAATCAGGACAGAAAAAATGAAAATTTTTTTTTTGGTAGCTTTTTTTTTTATTATACTTTAAGTTTTAGGGTACATGTGCACATTGTGCAGGTTAGTTACATATGTATACATGTGCCATGCTGGTCCATCATTCTCAGTAAACTATCGCAAGAACAAAAAACCAAACACCGCATGAAAATTTGATAACATATGTGGTATGGAGAACCCAGACCATCCATACATTCAGTGGGATTATAAACTTGCAAATTAGAAATGTCTCTCAAAATGGTAAGTATACATACTTCATTCCCCAGCAATTACATATTTGGGAATTTATTCTGCAGATATTTATCCCTTATGTATGAAGAATATATACTAGAGTATATATTACCACATGTTTGTAGTAACATAAAAGTAAAAACCACCTAAATTTTCACCAGTAGGATATATGTTCAGTGCTGCCACATCTACGCAATGGCAGTCACAGCTGTTAAACATAAATATTCCTAAACAGAAACTCTCCTATGTATATTATGATGTGATAATGAAGGTTCAAAAAGTATGTGTGATATGCAAACCTTTGAGAAAAATTAAAAATTTAACATCTGTGTATATACACATGTATAGCATAGACTATATCTAGAATGATTCACATTAAATTGGCTGTTCCCCAGCAGGTGCCTATGGGGAGAGAGACAAGAGACTGGTGATGAGCCATCAACCTGTTTTTACCATATACCTTTGTACTTTAATTTTTTTACTATCTATCAAGTATTACTCCTTCAAGGCAATGTGTGAGAGGGAGAAGGAATGAAGGAAAGACAGAGGGATGGAAGAAATGTTAATTTTAGAGTTTTATCAGCAGTCAGTATTAAAATTTTTATCTTTATGACAGCTGTAATATCCACTTTCCTAGCATTGCTAACTATTGTTTTTGGATTGAGTGGTAAAATGAAAATATGGTCAGTTATTTTATTCTTAACATCAAATGGATTCTCTTCTGTGAGTCAATAAATGTCAGTATAAATGTACATAAGAATGCTCCATTTATGATAAATTTGGTTCTCTCATTTTCTCTATTGAATGAAGGCCAATGCAAAGAACATTGCAACGAATGGATGTAAGGCTTCTGTAGGGAAACTTTATCAATCCAATGATTTTGAGGAGAGGAAGAGGTAATTATTTCATGAACAACTTTTTGTGGATAGAAAGCAGTTCTTGGAATGGAATGTTTATGTTTTTTCCTGGGAAAACAGGCAGTAACAGGGTTGAGAATTTATTATAGTGTACCACATATCATCATGAAATGAAATTTATTTTACTTGACATAAAATGACAGCAATTCACTCTGTTGCCGTGTTCTGTTTTTTTTCTGGGTAAGATTTAATCTTATTTCAAATCTAAGCAAGTTGCTTATATTGAGAATAAGTGGATTAAAATGGATAATGAGAACTGAACAGAAAAACTTTCACCCCCCTGTCAGATCCAAACAATTTAATTAAAGCACAACACACTCTGGTAGAAGATTTCCTATCACTGCAGCCTTTAAAAAGTTCCTTCTCTCAGCTGTGCCTGTATTTTGCAGTATACAAGTTAATTAAAATAATAATAATCTAGTGAGAACCTATGGTGGTTTACCTTGGGCTAAATTTTATTACTATTTCATTGTCTAAATTTTATTATCACTATATTATTGTTTTATTCTTCATATTTTACTATTGTTTTAATTATACAAAAATGAATAAGTCATAGGTATTCTTTCAGAGGATTTTTAATTAGTCTGAGACAGATAAAGTAATAATTACAGTACTATGGGAAGATTTCTAGTGGAAAAATGTATGTAAACACATGCATTTATCGTTGCTGTCATATAAAACTCCATAAATTGACAGTAAAACATAAAATAAAATTAAATAATTTTAAAACACATTAACCTACATAAAAATGTAACAGAAGTAGACATAGAGATAAAATTTATAAAGATGAAACCCAGATGAATGAGTAGTACATAACAGCAAACCTGAAATATCATAAACTTAAGATTACTCCGAAGAGTCCCATATTGGTCAATTCCCATTGAACAGAGTTCCCTGTTCAATTGTCAAGACTACAGAGTAAGAAAAGTTGGACAAGACAAAAGATAACATTCTCTCCATTAGAGACACTATACACACACACACACACACACATACACATATATATGTACACATATATGTACATATGTGTATATATATATACACACACATATATGTACACACATATATGTATATATGTGTATATATATATACACACATATATATGTGTGTATATATGTGTGTGTGTGTATATATATATATTTTTTAGCTTGATCTTTTTCAGGTGAAAAGTACTGATTCTGCTAGTGTGATGGCTCACACCTGTAATCCCAGCACTTTGGGAGGCAGGTGGATCAGCAGAGGTCAAGAGTTCGAGACCAGCCTGGACAACATGGTGAAACCCCATCTCTACTAAAAATACAAAAATTAGCTGGGTGTGGTGGCGGGCACCTGTAATCCCAGCTACCCAGGAGGCTGAGGCAGGAGAATCACTTGAACCCAGGAGGCGGAGGTTGCAGTAAGCCGAGGTCGTGCCACTGCATTCCAGCCTGGACAATAACAGTGAAATGCCATCTCAAAAAAAAAAAAAAAAGTATTTATTCCATTAAAATATTTTAGTGATTGTATATAGTACCGTTTCAGGATTGATAGGTGCATATTTTTGTGCAAAAACTGGCAAAATAATTGGCAGCAAGACATATTTACATGACTTCATTTCTAGGTTTGTAATAGTCTCACCTATGAACAGAACCAAGGCACATATTTTATAAACTATATTTTAAGTGAATCTGTAAAGCCCTAAAGATTCGGCAATACCTAATTCTGCCCATACTACCCAGAATCAATGGGGAAAATAGAAGGTGAAAACAGAACTGTTAAAAATAAATTCACCAAAGTTTTTAAGGAACCAGACATACTATCCGTGGCTCATGTGATTATGAAATTACCTCACTCATGAAATTTTCATGAATAGACCCACGAGACTTATGGTTGTATAACATGATGGGCTTGGTTGGAATAAGGACATAACATGAATAGATGAACAGAAAATGGAACAGAGGAGACAAACTTCCTACATTCCAAATTTGCTTGTTCCTAGTCTGTAGTACTGTGTAAATAAATAACCACAGCACTGATTTAAATCATCTCCAATCAGTCAATCAATCAATCACACCTCTGGTTCAGTAAACCCACTCTGAAAGTCACTTGTTCTCTAAACTCCATGCTAAGTGTCAGCCAATCCTTAAAAATTTCTCAGTTTTGAAAATTAGCCAATTCTTAACCTTCATATTTCCCCAAACTCTATACGGTTAGCTTTTTGTTTTATTCAGAAAGACCGTCTCCTAAGAACATATTTCTCTGTTCCATAACAAGTAATAAATTTAGCATAGTTTCAGATATATTAGTAGTTATCTCATATTGCTTCCCACTTTCTCCTCTGTTGATAGAACAAAATAAAATGTTCAGAAATAGAGCTACATTCATGCTTAGATTTAATATGTCATAAAGGTTATATATCAAAAAGTCAAAAAAGTTAGACTGTCTAATACATGGTGCTTGGGCAATTGGGAGCCATCTGGAAAAGATAAAATAAGATCCATGCCTCAAACTAAGCACCAGAGTAAATTTCAGATAAATCAAATATGTAAGTGTAAAACAAAAATAAAAGTACGTGAGATGCCTGTGGTGGTCCAAACCTGTAATCCCAGCCAGTCTGGAGGATGAAGAGGATGAAGGAGGATGAGCCCAGGAGTTCAAGACTGTAGTGTGTGATCATTGTGCCCATGAATAACCACAGCACTCCAGCATGGATAACATAGAAAGACTTCCTCTCAAAAAAAAAATATATATTATATATTTTATATATATATATATGTGTGTGTGTGTATATATATCTATATATATCTATGTACATATATAGTGTCCATGAATAACCACAGTATTCCAGCATGGATAACATAGCAAGACTCCCTCATATATATAAAAACATATATATATATATGTATACACACATACATATATGTATATGTGTATGTAAATGTATGTAAATATATGCATATAAATATATTTATATATACATAATATAATATAAATATATAAAAATATATTTATATATTATATATTTTATATAATATATAAATATAAATATAAATATATAATTATATAAATATAGTATAAATATATAAATATATGTGTATATGCATATATAAATATATGTATATATAATATGTACGTATACATATGCATACATGTACATATACATACATATACATATGCATGCATATACATAATATATGTATATATATAAATGTATGTAAATATATATGTGTACAGATATATGTATAAAGTAGATGGAAGAATTCCTTTATAACCTTGGATTTGGAAAGGACTTTCTAGGACTTAACACTCAGAAACTATAGAAGAACAACTAAATTAAAAAGAAACAACCTCTTGCCTGGTAAATATATACCATAAGTAAAACCCCACATAAATGACTTTCTGAGAATAAATATTTGTGACTTATGTTAAAAGAGCCAATCTGTCTAATTATAAATATTTCTTAATATAAATAAGAAAAGGTCAATAAATTTACAGAAAAGCAGGTAAAAAAATTGAGTTCACAGAAATAAACATAATTTATTATTATGCATATAAAATTATTTAAGCTGACTAATAAATTGGGCAATGTATATTGGAACTACATTAAAATATGACTTCTTTATTATGTTGTAAAAAATACAAATTTGACAACATACTGATGACAAAGCTATGAGCAAAGCCAATCTATTTGTAAGAGTAAGAAATTGTACAAACACTTTACAAAGAAATATGACTATTTGTCAAAGTTATAAATGCATTTGCCTTTTGACCTAGTAGACACACTTCTGGAAATTTATCCTACAGCTAAACTAGAACACATACCAAATAAAGTACGTGTAAGATTTTTTATTGCTGCATTGCTTATTATAGCAAAAGATAGGAAACAACCCAGGTGTACATCAGGAGTGGACTGGTTAACTAAAATATGATATGTTCACATAAAAAGTAACACTGTTCAAAACTGGGTGCAGTGGTGTGCACCTGTAGTCCCAGCTATTGAGGAGGCTGAGGTGGGAGGATCACTTAAGACCAGGAGTTCAAGGCCAGACTGGGACAACATAGCAAGACTCCGTCTCTAAAAAATAAAAAAATACTACTCAATACTATATCAATATTCAGGTGAAAATATCTCAAGACTATATTATGAAGTCAAAAAGCAAAGTTCATAGTATGCTATATGTTATGCTAACATTTGTATTAAAAAGAAAAAATGCATACTTAAAATTGCTGTGTTTGCATTAAAAACAACTGAAAAGTTAACACAAGAAATTAGTAAGAGAGAAGGGGGAAGAGTGAAAGTGATTGGGGGATGAGGGGGGAGCAGTAATTTTCAACATATACCTTTTTGTGTTGTTTTCATTTTTGAATCATGAGGATCTGTTACGCATTGAAAAATTATTCAATGTTGAAAAAATATAGAAAACGATGGACTTGTACCTAGTGCTTTACTATACTCCTTTTTACTGGTGCTCCAGTCTCAAAAAAAAAAAAAAAAAGTAACGATACACTCTTTGGGCTGTCAAAAAAATCTATGCAGAATGCTTACAGTTCCAAAGTTGGATCTAATGACATACATCTCAGAATAGTGATGGAAAAGCCTTTGTGGTACCAGCGCCTCTCAACTAAGGAAGTACTTGGAAGCGTTGGGTGGCTCTTGCTGTGTAAACCTTATACAATTGATACTTTTCCTTCTCACATTAGTGAGACAAGATGGATGTATCCATCTTTTAGCAACTGGCATATGCAGGTCAAGGCTCTGTGTCAACAATGACACTGTGTTACTGGAATAAGCACTTGTAGCTCTAACTTAACCTGTGCTAAATTGTGAACTTTGTAAATTCTAATGCCACTTTGATTTGGGGAAAAGTTGAAGTTTTAGAAAAGAAAAGATGACTTTTTTTTTTTTTTTTTTTTTTTTGTGTGTGTGTGTAGATGGAGTCTTGCTCTGTCGCCCAGGCTGGAGTGCAGTGGCACCATCTCAGCTCACTGCAAGCTCTGCCTCCCGGGTTCAGACCATTCTCCTGCCTCAGCCTCCCTAGTAGCTGGGACTACAGACGCCCGACACCACGCCTGGCTAATTTTTTTTATTTTTTTATTTTTTAGTACAGACGGGGTTTCACTGTGTTGTCCAGGCTGGTTTTGAACTCCTGAGCTCATGCAATCCGCCTGTCTTGGCCTCCCAAAGTACTAGGATTACAGGCATGAGCCACTGCTCCTGGCCGAAAAGATGACACTCTTTTTTTTTTTTTAAAGTTCTTTTTTTTTATTTTTTTATTTTTTATTTATTTTTTATTATTATATTTTAAGTTTTAGGGTACATGTGCACATTGTGCAGGTTAGTTACATACGTACACACGTGCCATGCTGGTGTGCTGCACCCACTAACTCGTCATCTAGCATTAGGTATATCTCCCAATG
The DNA here is from genome assembly GCF_000001405.40 of Homo sapiens. Taxonomy (NCBI): domain Eukaryota; kingdom Metazoa; phylum Chordata; class Mammalia; order Primates; family Hominidae; genus Homo; species Homo sapiens. Next base: position 111,182,078 of record NC_000005.10, on the reverse strand, counting down.
CTATCCCTCCCCCCTCCCCCCACCCCACAACAGTCCCCAGAGTGTGATGTTCCCCTTCCTGTGTCCATGTGATCTCATTGTTCAATTCCCACCTATGAGTGAGAATATGCAGTGTTTGGTTTTTTGTTCTTGCGATAGTTTACTGAGAATGATGATTTCCAATTTCATCCATGTCCCTACAAAGGACATGAACTCATCGTTTTTTATGGCTGCATAGTATTCCATGGTGTATATGTGCCACATTTTCTTAATCCAGTCTATTCTTAAAGGCGCATATTTTATTTGCAGAACCCATGCTTACCCACGATTGCCATGAGATTGGTTGGGCTTACGCTGTATAAATTACCTTGCTCCTACCGTCACCTTCCCTAGATGAAATTTTTTAAATTGCAACTTTGTAAATTTTTGTAATGAAATAATTTTAATTGAAGCACATTAAATGTATAGGGGATGTAATTATCCCTACATTTGGAGTTGGGAGTTCTTTGAGACAAATAAGAACTTTAGCCTTTAGAACAGAACTGCTTTCCCAAACCTGCTCACAGTTGAGATGGTAGCAATTAGAACTAGTTCCTGAGAAGTTGCATGGGAATTTCCGGGAAGACTTTACATCTCAGTGGCAAAGAATGCTGTGCCTAATACCTGAAATATCAGAATTTATCCCTGATTTATTGAGCCATGTACATAAGAAAATTACTGTTAAGTTATACCAGTCTGAGAGCTGGGACCTAGTACATGGGCTGATAGCCTTTCATGGAATTAAGGAATATAAAATTTTATATTTTAGTAACGGAGAAATACTGATTTATTTATTCAGGGTGATAATACATACACAATGTTGCATAAATTAAACTTTAAGGAAGGACAACAGAAGCCTTTTCACCTTAATTATAAGCAAGCAGTACATCTCTTGTATTTAGAAATATGAAAAATGAATCCAAAAGAATAAGTAATCCACCTCATTCTAGAGAACATTTCCAATGTGCCATTCACAGAGGGGGAACACAGAGAGCCCTCACAATCATATTGAGTTGAGGAGAAAGGGCTGGAATTTTAAAACCAAAGCAGCTAGAATCTGTTGGGGGAAACACAGGAAGAAAGGACTTTCACAGAAAGAGACCTCTAAGATCTCTAGAGGGGTCCACTTGAATCTTCGGCTGAGTATTGATCTATGCATGCATGTGAGGAAACTACCTAAGTCTGGGTAATAAATCACTGAAAAAAAAGTAGGCAAAACAATTTTCATGTTAAAAATAAAAAAGGATAGAATTAGTGTTCGTTTCCATCCACCAGAATGGAAAGATTTTCCAATATATGGGTCATTGGTTAGTGTCATCAGAAGGTTATTGCTTTAGTAGTGAGGCTAAATCAGCCCTAGAATAATCCTGCTTTCGGCCTAGTCTGAGAGATCTTTAAAGCAAGCCTCAAAAGCAGCCAACTCCTTTCATGTAAATTAACTTATAATATATAGATCAGGGTGGAAATCAATGAAATAGAAAACAAAAAGAGAGAAAATTAATAAGCACAAAAGTTGAATTTTTTTCTTTGAACTGAACGATAATAGTGACACAACCTATCAAAACCTCTGCGATACAGCAAAAATGGTGCTAAGGTGAAAGTTCATAGCATTAAATGCCTACATCAAAAAGTCTGAAAGAGTGCAAATAGACAATCTAAGGTCATACCTCAAAAGAACTAGGGAAACAAAAACAAATCAAACTGAAATCCAGCAGAAGAAAATAAGAAAGATCGGAGCAGAACTAAATGAAATTGAAAGAAACAAACAAAAAACAATAGAAAAGATAAACCAAACAGAAAGCTGGTTCTTTGAAAAGACGAAATTGATAGATCATTAGTGAGATTAACCAAGAAAAGAAGAGGGAAGATCCACGTAAGCTCAATTAGAAACAAAACAGGAGATATTACAACTCATATCACAGAAATACAAAAGATTATTTCAGGCTACTATGGACACCTGCACACACATAAACTAGAAAACCTAGAGGAGATGGATACATTCCTGGAAATATGCAGTGCACCTAGATTAAACCTGGAAGAAATAGAAACTCAGCAGACCAATCCAAGTAGCAAGGTTGAATCCATAGTAAAAAAAAAAAAAAATTGTCAACAAAAATAATGTCAAGGACCAGACGGATTCAAAGCTGAATTCTATCAGACATTCAAAGAATTGGTGCCAATGCTATTGACAACTATTTCAAAAGATAGTGAAAGAGGGAATCCTCCCTAAATCATTCTCTGCAGCCAGAATCATCCTAATACCAAAACCAGGAAAGAACATAACAAAAAAAGAAAACTACAAACCAGTATCCCCGAAAAGCACAGAAGCAAAAATCCTCAGCAAAATACTAGCTAACCAAATCCAACAGCATATGAAAAAGGTAATCCACCATGATCAAATGGGTTTCTTACCCAGGATGCAGGGATGGTTTAACATATGGAAGTCAATAAATGTGATACACCACATAAACAGAATTAAAAATAACAGTCACATAATCATCTCAATAGACACAGAAAAAGCATTTGACAAAATCCAGCATCCCTTTATGATTACCACCCTCAGCAAAATTGACATAGAAGGGACATACATTAAAGTAACAAAAACCATCTATGACAAACCCACAGCCAACATTATACTGAACATGGAAAAGTGGAAAGTATTTCCCCCAAGAACTGAAACAAGACTAGGATGCCCACTCTCACCAAGGAGGACCACTCTCACCACTTTTATTCAACATAGTACTGGAAGTCCTAGCCAGAGCAATCACACAAGAAAAGAAATAAAGGGCATCTGAATTGGTAAAGTGGAAGTCAAACTGTCACTGTTCGCTGATGATATCATTGTATGTCTAGGAAACCCTAAAGACTCATCCAGAATCTAGATCTAATAAATGAATTTGGTAAAGTTTCAGGATACAAAATCGATGTATGCAAATCAGTAGCACTGCTATACACCGATAGTGACCAAGCTGAGAATAAAATCAAGAACTCAACCTCTTTTACAATAGCTGCAAAAAATTAAAATACTAAGGAATATACTTTACCAAGGAGGTGAAAGACCTCTACAAGGAAAACTACAAAACACTGCTGAAAGAAATCATAAATGACACAAACAAATGGAAACACATCCCATGCTTATGGATGGGTAGAATCAATATGATGAAAATGACCACACTGCCAAAAGCAATCTACAAATTCAATGCAATTGCATCAAAATACCACCATCATTCTTCACAGAATTAGAAAAACCGATCCTAAAATTCATATGGAAGCAAAACAAAGCCCGCATAGCCAAACAAGACTAAGCAAAAAGAATAAATCTGGAGGCATCACACTATCAAACTTCAAACTATACCATAAGGCCACAGTCACCAAAACAACTTGTTACTGGTATAAAAATAGGCACATAGCTCAATTGAACAGAATAGAGAACCCAGAAATAAAGCTAAATAGTTACAACCAACTAAGCTTTGACACAGCAAAGAAAAATATAAAGTGGGGGAAGGACACACTATTCAGTAAGTAGTGCTAGGATAATTGGCAACCCACACGTAGAAGAATAAAGCTGGATCCTCACCTCTCACCTTGTATAAAAATCAACTCAAGATGGATCAAAGACTTAAATCTAAGAGCTGAAACCATAAAAATTCTAGAAGATAACATTGGAAAAACTTTTCTAGACGCTGGCTTAGGCAAAGACTTTGTGACCAAGAACCCAAAAGCAAATGCAACAAAAACAAAAATAGATGGGACTTAATTAAACTAAAAAGCTTCCGGACAGCAAAAGAAATAATCAGCAGAGTAAACAGACAACCCACAGAGTGGGAGAAAATCTTCACAATCTATACATCTGACAAAGGACTAATATCCAGAATCTACAAGGAACTCAAACAAATCAGCAAGAAAAAAACAAACAATCCCATCAAAAAGTGGGCTAAGGACAGGAATGGATAATTCTCAAAAGAAGATATACAAATGGTTAACAAACATATGAAAAAATGCTCAACATCACTAATGATCATGGAAATGCAAATCAAAATTGCAATGCAATACCACCTCACTCTTGAAAGAATGGTCATAATAAGAAAATAATAGATGGGCATGGATGTGGTGAAAAGGGAACACTTTTATACTGCTGGTGAGAATGTAAACTAGTACAAGTACTATGGAAAACAGTACGGAGACTCCCTTATTTTATTTTTTATTTTTTTGACAGAGTCTCGCTCTGTGGCCAGGCTGGAGTGCAGTGGCACTGTCTTGGCTCACTGCAATCTCTGATGCCCTGGTTCAAGTGATTCTCCTGCCTCAGCCTCCCAAGTAGCTAGGATTACAGGCATGTGCCACCACTCCCAGCTAAGTTTTGTATTTTTAGTAGAGACAGGGTTTCACCATGTTGGCCAGGATGGTCTTGATCTCCTGACCTCGTGATCTACCTACCTCGGCCTCCCAAAGTGCTGGGAAAACAGGTGTGAGCCACCACACCCGGCGGAGACTCCTTTAAAAACTAAAAGTAGATCTACCATTTGATTCAGCAATCCCACCACTAGGTATCTACCCAGAGGAAAAGAAGTCATTATATGCAAAAGGTACTTGCACACACATTTATAGCAGCACAACTCGCAACTGCAAAAGTATGGAACCAGCCCAAATGCCCATCAATCAATGAAAGAATAAAGAAAATGTGGTATATATATAACCGTGGCATACTACTCAGCCACGAAAAAGAATGAAATAATGGCATTTGCAGCAACCTGGATAGAACTGGAGACCATTATTCTAAGTGAAGTAATTCAGGAAGAGAAAACCAAACATCACCTGTTCTCATAAGTGGGAGCTAAGCTGTGAAGACCCAAAGGCATAAGAATGATACAATGTACTTTGGGGACTTGGGAGAAAGGGTGGGAGGGGGTGAGGGATAAAAGACTACACATTGGGTAGAGTTTACACTACTTGGGTGACAAGTGCACCAAAATCTCAGAAATCACCACTAAAGAACTTATCCATGTACCAAACACCACCTGTTTTCCAAAAACCTATTGAAATTTTTAAAAAGTTGAATTTTTTGAGAAGATAAAGCAAATTGGTAAATGTTTACTTTTAGTCATCGGGAGAAATGAGAGAACAAATGACCAGTTTTGATAAAGAAATAGATAGCATCACTTCACTTTCTACAGAAAATAAAAGGATAACAAGAAAATATTATAAACAATTTTGTTTAGGTAAATTCAACAACATAGATGAAATAAATAAATTCCCTGAAAGGCAGAGACTGTGCTCGCTAAAGAGAAAATAGCATGAGTAGTCATACAGATATTAAATAATTTGAGTTCACAGTTAAAAACTTTTGCCTAAAAAAAGATAGTTGGTTTTGTTGGGCACAGTGACTGATGCCTATAATCCCATCAATTTGAGAGGCTGAGATGGGAGGATTGCTTGAATCTAGGAGTTCGAGACTAGCCTGGGCAACATAGTGAGACCTTGACTCTACAAAAAATGCACAAAATTAGCCAGGTGTGTTGGCCCATGCCTATAGTCTCAGCTACTTGGGAGGCTGAGGTGGCAAGATTGCTTGAGCCAAGGAGGTCGAGGCCGCAGTGAGCTGAGATTACGCCATTGCACTCCAGCCTGGGTGAGACCCTTTCTTAAATAAATATGTAAATAAAATTGAAAATTAAAAAGAAAATATTTGGGTCTGGGATTTGGCTTGGCCCTACTTACAATCTACTAAGTCAACTGATTACTGATTTCATAGATGCTTTATAGAAAACACAAGGTTTGCATGTCAGAAAGGATTTTATCACTCACACCACAAGGAGCATGAGCATTAGCACAGTTGCTTTGATTTCTCTTGCTGTACTTGCCAGAGTTGCACCTCGGAGGGATCCAGATGGATTCTATATACATAGTGAGACTGTATTTCACCTGAGGAAGACTAAACTTAGGGATTCCACTACTTTTATAGTGAGTAGTAACACGGCCTTCTCTCTGGCTCTAAGAGAAAATTTTAAATTAATAAATAAATATATAGTTTGTGAGAAGTTCTGTGAAAAAAGACAAACAGGAATTCAGTAGCTCAGCAAAGAGTTGGGGTAGAGTTTTCTCAGAGCAAATTATTCCTTAACTCATCAAAAGATAAATTGGAGTTAATCACAAGATTGAGGGACAAAGGTGCTAAATGGCATTCAGCTAAGTGACATTCAAAAATATGCTTCATTGGCGAGGACCCCAAGTAGTTCAGATGAGTGGGAATGGGGAATGTAGGAGAGGAAGCAACTGTTGAGGGAGGAGTTGGCTGAGTCAATGTTCAAATCATGGAGGAGGATCTTCTATGCTCAAAAGGGGATTGACAGAACGGATTTGTCTGAGGCAAGAATGATCTTTCAAATGGGAGATGTGTTGGAAAATGAGGAGACAAACAGGTCACTTAGGAGGCTGGTGAAGTAATCTAAAAAGAAATGATAGCAGTAGAGATGGAGAGTAAACATACCCTACACATTCTAAAGAGATGAAATATATAGGTCCTGGGATAGGTAGGGAAGGTGAAGTCACAGCTGAATTTCAGGTTTCTGTTTTGTCTTCTGGGAGAATTTACTGGGAAAAGAATTTAAAAGAGGTACACATTTTTATAGGAAATAATGAGTAGTGTTTCACATTTGTGTTTGTAAGATGTGAGGTGTCTAGGTTCAGCTGCCCAATAGACAAAGGATTCAGGAAAAAGTGTGGACTGGAGACAGTTATTGGAGCCCAGAGACCAAGTGAATTCTAATGAGAGTACATAAAGTGATGAGTCCTTGGAAAGAACTCTAAAACATACCAACATTTAGGGGAACATTTATAGAAGAGAGACTAAAACTAATAGAGAAGGAATGATCAGAAGAAAACTTGACAAGAATAGTGTTTCAGAAATTGAGAGAATATTTTTAAAAAAGAAGAAGACTGGCAAATGCTACAAAAAAACAACACAAAGACAAAGAAATTCTGTCTTGAATTTCACAATAATAAAATAAAGGATGATGCTGGCAAGGGCAGCAATTACCTTAGCTACCATGTGGCAGTGGGGTGGAAGCTCCATGTTACAGTGAAATGGAAGGAGAAAGTAGAGAGAGCAAGGGTAACCATTTTTTTAAATTTTATTTTATTTTAAGTTTCGGGATACATTTGCAGGACGTGTAGGTTTGTTACACAAGTAAATGTTTGCCATGGTGTTTTACTGCACGTATCAGCCCATCACCTAGGTATTAAGTCCCACATACAGTAGCTATTTACCCAATGCTCTCCCTCCCACCCCACTACTCCCGACAGGCTCCAGTGTGTGTCGTTCCCTCCCTGTGTCCATGTGTTCTCATTGCTCACCTCCCACTTAGAATAGGCGGTGTTTGGTTTTCTCTTCCTGTGTTAGTTTGCTGAGGATTATGGGTTCCATTCATGTCCCTGCAAAAGACACGATCTCTTTCTCTTTTACAGCTGCATAGTATTCCATGGTGTATATGTACCACATTTTCTTTATCCAGTCTATCATTGATGGTCATTTGGGTTGACTCCATGTCTTTGCTATTGTGAAGAGTGCTGCAATGAACATACAAGTGTATGCATCTTTATAATGGAATGATTTCTATTCCTTTGGGTATTTACCCAGTAATCTATTCCTTTGGGTATTTACTTAAAAGTAATCTTTTAAGTATGCAGGTCAGACAAAAGTCAAGTTATCTGCATCCTTTCGACAACTGATTTTGAACTAGGATTAGCTATATTTAATCATTTAAAAATCTTAATGCTCAAGGACTAAGGTGAAATAGGATAAATAACCTGTCTAAGTTTATGTGACAATGTTGGGATTTAAATTAGGCCTTCTGTAACCTGTGCTCTTAACCCCCACGTTTTCTAGAACACTGTATACTTACTGTGTTCATCTCCATATGACCTGTGTCTTCACAAATCAGATATGTAAGGAGTCTCAAGAAAGGTCTTAAATCATTCCGTTGTATAATGTTCAAGCTGAACAGAATGAATTCAACTTGATCATGTTATGGATGTTCAGTTGAACCAGGTATGTTAGGTAAATTTCCCTAACCTACACAGCTACTAAGCCTGAGGCTGAAAGTAGGAGCGTTATTACCTGCCTCCTCATCAGTTCAACATATTTCCAAAAACTGCACTCAAAACAACAGTCTAATGTGTAGGAGATACAAGTTTTCTTGTCTGAATGAGCCAGATCATTACAATTAATCAGATACGTTACTCAACCCTGCTTTGGCAGAGTCTACATCCAAAAGTTCAGAAATAAGATTACTTTGATTTGAAATAACTGTGTGGATCCTACATGTCTCTAAACCAGACTCTCCTATGAGTAATGACAAAGACCCAAACAAATTGTGCTGATTTTCTCCTTATTTGCTTAAGACCACAAAGGCAGGCTGAAGACAGAGTTGGGGATTATTTCATAAAAGAGGCCAATTCTTTCCATTCTGGAGATTATGCAAGGCAGCCTGGGCTAGTGAGAAGATAAATTAGCATCTGGAACTATACGAGAACACAGTTCTCATCTTTTTAACATTTTCCTTTCTTTCTCTTCCCCATCTCCTTCCTTCTGCTGCTGTTCCTTTTTGCTCTCTTCTTTTCTCCTAGTTTTACTTTCCTTCATTGTGCCTTTCTTCTTATCATTCTCACTCACTTTCCTTCATCTTTATATTTCTCCTTTTATTAAGAACATTATCTTGCGTGATATTCCAACAATACTGAATTATTGTGACTCTTCAATGTCTTCAGCATTGACCCACTCAAGAACAAAAAACAGACCATCAGTCTTATCTCAAGATTCTAGCACCGAGGTAGGAAGAAGGCTTAAGTCCCTGTTGGTATTAACTTATTCCCCTAGTTTATCTACTTGTGGATGGCTCTTTAAAGAAACTCACATTATTATTAGGTGGTTTTTGTTTTTTGTTTTTTTTTGGTATGGTGTGTTGATAAGTTTTACAGAGTCTGTGCTCTGATTTTGCCAGCAAATTAATGAGATAAACTTAATAAGGTCTTTAACAGGGTGGAAACAAATTGCTGGGAGCCTATTTCTGCTTTTAAAAACCCTTTCCAAGTGTCTTCAGGTAATAAAAATAAACATTAGAAATAACTAGGAAATCAATGGAGTTTGGGGGACAGTTAAGAATCGAAACCATTTTTTCAGTAAATTCTCAAGATAACAGAAATGCCTAGGTAAAGAAAAAAACTGAGGTGTGGACTGGAGAGAATCAAAACAACATAGTTCTATGTATCAGCTCTGAAGTTTGCCACATGTTCTGACCTCATTCCAAGGTTTAGAGGACAAAATAAATGGGGGTGTGGCTTGGGGGTGGGGCTTCAAAAGCTGTGTGTGTGACAGGTTCAAACTCTCTCAGGGCTGTTGTTCTGTGGACTGAAGCCCCACCCCAACCTCATTGCTAGGAAAGGAGGCAGCCTAAATCAACAATAAATACCGATTCAGCACCCTGGGGCATCAGCCCAGTTCCACTCTTAAGCATTATAGCCGAAAAATAATATTCTGATTTCCATATAAGAGAAGTAGGGGTTGGCTAAATTCCAGCCCTGAAATTCACAGACACAGGGTAGCACTAGCTAAAAATTAAAGTTTTTAAAAATTTTTTAGTATTTTTTTTGTTTAATGAGTACAGTTCTTCCTAGTTGTACCTCATCTTTTTGCTCAAAAACAAAGCTTAGTAAAATCCCCTGACCTCAAAGCTAAGACTGCCTTGATAAGCAAATTTTAATGTACACTCAAACCCACAAAATGTTTTTATTTCTTTAAGTAAAAAATGAAAAGATGGTTGGATAACCTAGGACCAGTGATGGGAATGTGGAATAGAGAAGTTGATGTTCACTTAGGAAGGTCTTGGTAAAAGGAGGCAGAAAAGAGGGTTAGGAGAAGGTAAGGAGTAAGGGGCATAAAGAATAAGTCACTTAAAATAACCCTAATGCAAAATAGTGCTGTCAGATTTCTGGTTTATATTAGAAATATAATATAACATGTGTAACTGATTCCCATGAGAATAGGTTAATTTACAAAAGAGTCACCTGACCTGGAAAACAAATTTAAAATCGTGTTTGAAATTTGCATTATTAAGAACTGATAGCTTAACATTTCTTCTGCACTTCCCATTACTTAATCACTGCTAAAAGTACATGTACAGTTTCTCTTGAGATCTAAACCAGTGTTCGTGCAATTTAACAAAACCACCAGCCTTGTATTGCTGGAAACAAAACCTAGAACATTTTCTAAATCATAATGATTTCTAGGTTTGCCCGCCTGATTATGGTAGGGGTTTTTGTAACGAACCATAGATTATTACCACAACCTATGTCCCAGTGCCTAAATTATGCACATCCATATTTTTCTCGAGAAATTTAGATCTTCTACGTTTTCTCAAAAGCAGATGCTTTTCTTCTTAGACAATATTTTGAAACGTATTCACAAGACCCTTAAAATAGAAGGGAAAAACCAAAAGTGTGCATTTTAAGAGATGTATTGCCATAGTTCTTAATTGCAGGAGAAAGACATTCTGGTTATTTAAGAAAAAAAGAATTTATTGTAATAATCTTGCATTGATCTAAGAATCTCAGAGGAAGATGGAGAAGGTGCTCACAAGCTATGCAGGCAGAAACAATACTTAAAATAATCCAGCAGAAGTGGTCTGCTTGGAACACCAATATCATCATTACTGACATATGCACTAAGTACTTCAGTTTGTACTGCCAATATCACTAGCACTGGATTCTGGACACAGCCATAGCATGACTGCCATGGCTGTCCTGAAAACTCCATCTCACTGCAACCACTGCTGCTGCCAGAGGTTTCTCGAGTTTCCCATGCTCTACGTTACTAGCTTGCAACTTACAGATGCATTTGATTAGAGAGCTACATCACATGCTCACACTCTCAATACAAGGAAGGCTGGGAGAGAAATACGTAGCATCTTCAACCTCTATATTAGGAGATGGCTTCTCCTCCTACCAAAATGTATGAGATGAGGAATTCTTCAAACATAGGAAGAAGGCTTAGATGCTGGGCAGGCAAAAAGAATGACAAATGTCTAAGCAAAAAAGATAAGGTTATACTACTATATCTGTGCACAGTCCTTTGTGATCTCTTTCATGAGCTCCTCTTCTACATGTTGCTGCTTCCTTCTTTGCTCTCTTCTCTGATCTGCACACACACTCTTGTGATCTCATCTACTCTCACAGTTCAATGGCTCTTAAATATAACTCTTTAGCCACCTTCATTTACTTAACTGTAGCAGAGACTGCTCACCGTCCACCAAAATCCATTATCTTCTTCCTTCATAGAAATGGAATTGCAAGTTGACATAGACGTTCCCAGACATACAGAATTTCCCAGTCTTTTTTGACATTAGTTGTGACCACGTTCATTTCTCCTCAAAGGAATGTGAAAAAATGTGTGTGCCATTTCCAGCTCTGAGACTTAAGATGTCCAGACCTGTTTCTTCCATGTTTCATTTTCTTTCCTCTTTGCAACATCTGGAATCTATGGAACCCAGCCTCAATGCAGATGATGACAAGGCTTTAAGGAATGGAAGAGCAACCTAGGAACCTGGGTTACTGAATAAGAAGCAGAGCTACGCACCAACCTGGAATGCTGACCTTGAACTAAGGTGTAAGAAGCTGTATTTAAAGGCCTATCTCAGGTAAGCTACTGGATTATTGTCAGTTATCTTTTTAAAGCTGTTTAGTCTTATGCTAACACACACACACACACACACACACACACTCTCACAAATTTACCATCTCTCTTAATAATACAAACCTTGGGTTGTCCTAGACCCCTCCTTCTCTCTTGCTCTCCAAATTCAACAAATCACTAAATTGTGTTATTTATACCCCATTGAACTATTTCTTTCTCTAAATCCAAAGCTACCACTTCAGTTTGGGCTCTTAGTTTATTGTTCCCAATGTGCCTTTGTTTAGTTGTCCTGTGTGTATTAAATGTCTTCTCTCTCTTTCTCTTTCTGTTTTTAGAGATGGAATCTCACTGTATTGCCCAGGCTGGACTCGGACTCCTGGGTTCAAGCAATTCTCCTGCCACGGCCTCCCAAAGTGCTGGGATTACAGGCATGAGCCACTGCTCCTGGTTTGCTCTCTTTCCTCTAGCTATTTTTTAAAGTGTTAATTTAATTTAATTTTAAGTTCCGGGATACATGTGCAGGATGTGCAGATTTGATATATAGGTAAACGTGTGCCATGGTGATTTGCTGCACCTATCAACCCATCTCTAGCTATTTTTACTCATCTTTCAGAACTCAACTTAGTTACCATCTTCAACCAGGGTCCCCAGTGATGTACAAATGTTCTTCCTCTGTGATCCACTAGCACACAGTGGCTATCTCTAGCTTAGCTATTGCCCTAAAACATTGAAATTAACTATAAATATGAATAAGTAGGCTGTAAAAACCTTGAGGCAGAGATTGCATCTGTCGATAGAATGACTATATTCCACTATTCAGATGTATAAAGAAATAATGACAACTTCACTCCCTTGCAATATCAGCCTTGCTGCTTGCCTAACACTGAGCTCCCTATGGGAGATTGCAGGAAATGCAGATACCTTTTATTGTGCATGAGAGCAAAGACAGACTCAGAGAGCAGTACTTTTGTCTGTTTCTTTACCTAAATCTCTCCCTTAGCCGCTACTAATCAATTATCTACAAAACAGTTTGAAGTTTTCTAGTCTTCCAAAAAAGCAAGGAGTAAGCCACTTATCTCTGGGACTGTCCCATTTTTTTCTGGGGATACTAACCACATTCCAGGGTCTTGGTCCAGGAGGGAGTCACACTGTTTTCTGACTTTCTTTTCTGTGTGAATGGAATCCTCCTTGCATTCTGTTTACATTATCTCTTTAAATTAATTCTAAAATCTGGAATCACATCCAGCTAGTCTCTTCATATATAAAAATAAAATGTGCAAAGAAAATTTGAAATTTACAATTCCTCTCACACAACAAATACTGGATTTCAATATTATTATCCTGATATAGATTGAAAAACTCTAATTTGGATATTCAAAAATGACTCCTTTGCATGCCTACCCTAGTGCTTATCTTCCTAGAGAATAAAGAGATGTCTCTGACAGAAGAGCAGTTCTCTCACTAGGGAAAAATACACGAAAACATTTTTCTTAGGTTAATTCCCAAGAGACAGAATCTGAGGTGGAGAATTGTGTGCAGGAAGTTTACTAGGGAGTGGTCTCAGCCACAATCTCATAGAGGAAGCTGGGGAAGCAGAGGGAGACATGGAATTGCTGTGCAGTTGCAATTAAGCCTTCAGTCATTCCCATGAAGTGCTCTGCAGCAAGAAATCAGAGAAATAATGAGAATGGCTTTAGGTTCTCATAAGGCAAGTGTGGTAGATTATCTTTTCCAAGATGGCCCTAACAATATTTCTCATTCTACATGCGTTTTTGCAATGTTACTTCTCCCACTCTGCCATTAGGAAATGAGATCTGTTTCCCATACCCTTGAATCTGGCTGGATGACCTGAAGCAGAAGTGATGCCATATAACATCTAAGGCTGGGCCTTAAGAGATCCCTGCCTTCTGACTTCGCTACTGAGAATAGTTCTCCTTGGAAACCAGCTACCATATAAGAAATCATGCTACCATGAGACCACCATTTTGTGAGGAAGTCCAAGCTACACATATGAAGAGAAACAGGATACAAGAGAAGCACAAAAATACAACATATAAATACGTAAATAAAGCCTTCTTGGACCTCTAAGGAACTAACTTAACTCAGTTGACTGAGTGACCTGGCCAATGTCACCAGTAAGGCCTGCTTGAATTCTTGACCCTTAGAATCATGAGCAAATAAAATGGTGGTTGTGTTAAGTCACTACATTTTGGTATAGTTTGTTACACTGCAATAGAAATGGATGAAGAACTCAGCATCATAATTTTTTTAGATCTCTAGATGTCCCAGCTGACATCTAGATTACATTGTCTTAACCAGACATCCATGCTGAAGACTTTCCAATAATGCCAACTTTCTACACATAGGAAGCGGTCAAGTTGGACTCTCTTTGTAACAGTTAAAAGATGGCATCTCCCACTTCATTCACCCTCAGGTTTATTCAATTCTACCCATCACTTCCTGTCCTAAACTTCTGAAGCTAAAGACCACTCGAGTTTCAGTGGAAACCATGAGTTTTAAATCAGAACAATTTCATTTCCTTGAGGAGAATTTTCTGAGTTCTGAAGCCAGTCCCCTGAGAAAACACTCATGGAAAACGTAATTACAGCATCCTAAAGCATTAGGCTTCCTGTCCTGATTACAACAAAAGACTCCTGGGCTTTCCATGAGACAGCCACTCCTGGAAATGGTCCTGTAATTGGGATAAAAGGCAAAAGGAAAATGAAATTCAGATCAATTCCCTGGGTTCTTCCTGTTTATCCTTATTTTAATTTTTCACATGAAGTAAGATTTCAGTGTGCTATTCTAGCATTCACTGCTTCCTTGCCTTCGGTATGCAAGTTTTAAAGCCTTGATGTATTGCATAGAAACAATAGAAAATTATCATACTGTGCTTCTGGTTGGGTGGAATCATCCCATGTCAATACTAAGTAATGCAGCTCCCAAGGAATCAACTGACTTGCCTGACCTTGCAATGTCATCACCATTAATCATGGCAAAATTTTTCATAGAGACCATGGTAGTTACCAAATTGTGTTATTCTCTTTGTGCTGCTATAGTAAAATATATGAGACCAGGTAATTTATTATAACAACTTATTTCTTACTGTTCTGGACATAGGGAAGTCCAAGATCAAGGTGCCTGCAGATTCAGGGTATGGTGAGTTAGGCATTCATGTTGCATCTTCACATGGCAGAAGGGGCAAACGGACAAAAGACATGAATGCTGTGTCTTCACATTGCAGAAGGCAGAAGGGCAATAAAGGGCCTAGTTAGTTCCCTCCAGCTCTTTATAAGGTCAGTAATTCCATTTATAATCATAACTTAATCTCCTCCTAAAGGCTCTATCTTTTTACATTATAATTCATTTTATCACACTGGCAATTATGTTTCAACATATGAATTTTGAAGGACACATTTAGATCATAGCACAAATTGTAATTATGGAAAATAATAGACAAAAACAAATCATGTTGTTATATTCATCCTACAGTCTCATTTTACTCAAATTGTTGAACTCTAACCTTTTGTAACCTGCAAAAACAGCAACTTCATAGACTTCAACCTAATATAAATAATAAAACTAAAGCCTGTAACAAACTGAGTGACTGCCCGAAGGTGACCCAACTAGCTGGACAGTGGCAGGGCTGGTATTAGAATTCAGTCTTCACTTGACACTCCCTATGATGATTCCTTTTAGCATCTGCTACCTCTTATCATTAATCAACATTTTAATGAGGTTAGGTGGAAAAAGATCAGGATTTAGAGACCTTGATAAATTCAGAATACAGTGTTCCAAGTCATTGAAGTTCCATGAGCCATTTATTCTTTACCTATAGAATGGAAATAATAAATTCAAGGTCAAGGAGGCTGCATATAAAACATCTATTATTCATTCAGAGCCTGTGTGTAGGTAGGTTGGGCTGCCACAGATGTAGAGTGTTCTTTGACCTTCCAGGAGGAAATCCCTGAAAGACTCCATTAAGCACCCTTCAATCTGACATCCTTGTCTCCCTTGTTTGGTTACCTCTGGGAATGTAAAGCGTTGTATATTGAGAAGACCTCTTACTTGTTTAAATATCTTTACCTGGTAGGCGGTTTGCATATGTCTTTCTGGTGAGTTTAGTTAATGAAACTAGTTAGATCAGCCAGCTATCATTCCACTAAGAAAGTTGATTTAATTCTGTTGGAGTCTTGAAAGGAAAATGAGAGATCTATATTCAAATAATGACTCTTGGTTATTAATACCATCAGTCATAGTTTGAATAATAGAAAAATTAACAAGTAGACATATTAAGAAAGGTCTTGTGGGAGAAAAAAATATGTGAACAGACTTTTAAAAGATAGCATCTGGCCTTGCAAATATACAAATTACAACAAAACAAGGTAAAATGTAATGAGACTTCAAAGATTCACAGGGGAATACTTCTCAGATAAGAGTCTTCATTTGCAAGTAACAGGAAACAATTCGGGTTACTTAAGCAATATAGGGAATGTATTAAAGGGATAACAAGCACTTTATGGAATGGACCAGAGGCTGGAAACCCAAGTCTGGATGCCAGAGAGGAATCAGGACCAGATGCAAGAGCAGCTCTGGCTATACAGACACCATTTTTTTTTTCTATCCATGTGTCTTTTCTTAGGCCTAAGGGTAAAGGAATTAACGGGACAAGTTTGGATCAAGTCCACAGAGAATAAGGCTACCAATGTACAGCCCCACCAGAACTGTACAGCATAGATAAATCTACCAAAAGGAAATCAGGTTGTTTTCAGGAAGAAGAATAGATGTTGAACAGACATATGAACCAAATAACGTCCACCCTACAGTGGAACACAAGACCAGTTGGTTTGAGTAGGAAGGAAAGGAAACAAATTTATTGAAGACTTTCTTTGTGCTAGGTACTGTGATATTCTATACTTTCTATCATTTAATTTTCACAACAATCCTGAAAAGCAATTATTTTCTCCTTTTCCAACTGAGAAAACTCAAGCCAGGTTAAGGAAATTGCTCAGGTTTATATGGCCAATAAGCATTTGGGCTGGGATTTGCATTTGTGTCTGCAGGCTCTGCATTTGTGCTCTTTCGAAATGAGAGATAAGGCAAAGTCAGTAGTGCGACTAGCCTATAGGAGGAGCAGGCTAGCTTAGATGTCACAGCAGGAGGACTGGCAGAGTTATGGGTCCTCCATAAGGGGAATAAAAGAGAGATAACAATGAAAAGATCAGCAAACAGGTACCAAGACAGAACTGGGGAATAACAGAGGAAGGGTGAAAGCTGTAAAAATCCCCCCATAGGCTAGTGATTAGTCTTATTTTATTTTTTTAGATAAGTAAATAATAAAAGCAAACATGAGTACACTGACTTCCAGGTTGGCAGGACAGGAGAAGGGGCAGGGGCCAGAAATAAAGGTGGAAAAGGGATATGAAGCAGGAAAGAAGCTGAGTGTCTGAGCTGGCCCAGTGTCTGAGTGTCAGTAATTTTTATAGATGGACAGACACTTATTTTTCCAATAATTTAGCACTAAAAATGTTTATTGAACACTTGCGATAGAGACTACAGTGCAAAGAAAGAGACTGGTGTAAACTGAGATTTATGAAACAGGCAGAGAATCAAGTAGGCCTGGCAGGCCATGGGAAGGATACCTGCAGTAATTAATTTTAAGGACAACTTGGAGCTATTGAAAGATTTCAAAGACAGGAGTGACATAATTCCATTTATACTTCATCAAAATTACTCTGGCTACTGGATAGCGAATAGACTGAATGGCAAAGAATGGCAGCAAGATATCCACTTATTTCTATGTAGTCACTTCCTCAGTGAAAGAGAAAGCCTTCCTTAATTGAATTTAATCCCCGTGACATCAGCCTTTGCAGGTGTTCAGGGCAGAATTGTGGAATGAGCTTTCTGGCCCTAGTGCCTCCTATAGTTTGGATATTTGTCCCCTCCAAACCTTATGTTGAAATTTGATATTCAAGGTTGGGCCTCCTAGGACGCGGTTGGGTCATGGGGGCAGATCCTTCATAAATGGATTAATGCCTTTTCTTAGGGAAGGGTGAATTCTCATTCTGTGAGTTTTTTGTTTGTTTGTTTTGAGACAGAGTCTCACTTCTTGCCCAGACTGGAGTGCAGTGGTGTAATCTTGGCTCACTGCAACCTCTGCCTCCTAGGTTCAAGCAATTCTCATGTCTCAGACTCCCAAGTAGCTGAGATTACAGGCATGCACCACCATACCCAGATAATTTTTGTGTTTTCAGTAGAGACAGAGTTTCGTCATGTTGGTCAGGCCGGTCTCAAACTCCTGACCTCAAGTGATCCGCCCACCTCAGCTTCCCAAACTGCTGGGATTACAGGTGTGAGCCACTGTGCCCAGACTCATTCTGTTTGTTTCCACAAGAGCTGGTTGTTAAAAATAGCCTGGTACCTCCCACCCCCTCACTTGCCTCTTCTCTTGCCATGTTATCTCTGCACACACTGGTTCCCTTGCACCTTTCACCATGAGTGGAAGCAGATTGAGGCCCTCACTACGTACCCAGTCTTGAACTTTCCAGGCATCAGAATTGTGTGTCAAATAATTAGCCTCAGGCATTTCTTTATAGCAACACAAAATGAACTAAAAGAAATCCCTTCCCTCTCTGTGTTAATACTCTTCTTAACTCTTCAGTTCACACTTACATCTGTAAATAAGAAGCCTCTGCTTTCTTTTTTTCTTTTGGGGGAGCATTTAGTCACCTGACTAGGAAGAGACTGTTAAACCAATTCAATAACTGACAACATTCTAAAAAGTGATCTTTCCCCTCTAGGAGGGATGTTCACATTTTAAAAGGTGCAATCCATTGAACCAACAAGAGCATTAATGATAAATTTTCAGTCTTGAATTACTGAGTGGGGCTATCAAGGTATTTGAGGTGGGAGAATTTGAACACCACTCAAATCCATCACCAAGTATGAAATACGTAGGCCTGTATTTGGACTCCAATGAAAGGTTACTTTTGATGTCAAAAAGCATGTCTTCATATAATTGACATAACCAAAGGTCCTAAAGCACAGCACATGGACCAGTCCGTTAGGCACAGACTGCACAATAGACACAGAGAATCACCCATCCCACCATCACCCCACCTTATCAGAGCTCATATCAGGGCCTGAAACTGAATTTGGCATCAATTTTAAACTCTTCATTGAGGCACCTAACATCTATGTTAGTCATAAACATTCCATTTATGACCTTGACCTTTATGATTCTTTTAGTGCTTATATTGTAGCTCTAGGGGCTTCCCACACCACAGCTCCTTTTTATCATTTCTCAGATGTGGATGTGGAAGAATCAATGCAAAATTAAGATAACAAATGCTTCAACAAATACTAAAATGAAGATAGCAAACACTTATATCACAGGATTTCAATACACAAACTTGTTTGAGCGCTTTAAAAATGAAAATATGCATATATTCAAAGCTCATGGCCTCCTAGCATCTCACATGGATCCTCCCAGGATCACTTAGATGCTTCTTTCCAGGTTCTGGAGTCAGATTGTCTAGATCCAGATGTGTTTTTACCCTTTCCTAGCTGTAAGAACTTCAACAAGTTATTTTACCTTTCTGTGCTTTCGTTTTCTCATTTCTGTGTGGAAATATTGTGGACACCTACTTCATAAGGAACTTCTGAGGATTAATTTGAAACCATAAAGCATGGAGCACAATGTCTGGCACATAGTAAGTACTCAATAAACCTTAGTTATTATGAGTTACTCTGAATAGTTGTGATGGTTAATATTGAATGTCAACTTGATTGGATTTAAGAATGCGAAGTATTGTTCCTGGTGTGTCTGTGAGGGTGTTGCCAAAGGAGATTAACATTTGAGTCAGTGGACGGGAGAGGCAGACACACCCTCAATCTGTGTGGGCACCATCTAACCAGCTGCCAGTGTGGCCAGAATAAAAGCAGGCAGAAGAACATGGAGAGATTAGACTGGCTTAGCCTCTGAGCCTACATCTTTCCCTCATGCTGGATGCTTTCTGCCCTCAAACATCAGACTCCAAGTTCTTCAGCTTTGGGACTCAGACTGGCTTACTTGCTCCTTAGCTTGTAGATGGCCTATCGTGGGACTTGAGTTGTGATCATGTGAGTTAATACTCCTTAATAAACGCACATATATATATATATTCTATTATATATATATCCTATTATATATATATATATCTCCTATTAATTCTGTACCTCTAGAGAATGCTGATTAACACAGTAGTATATCAGATGTATTAGAAAATATGTTATTTTATACCACCATTCTGAAATTACAATGTATTCATTTGCCTGAGCTATTACTATAAGCTCCTTGTAGGTAGTGTATTAATCTCTTCTCACACTGCTGTAAAGAACTACCCAATACTGGGTAATTTATAAAGGAGAGAGGTTTAATTGACTTACAGTTCCACATGGCTGGGAAGGCCTCAGGAAACTTACAATCATGGCAGAAGGGGAAGCAAACTTGTCCTTATTCACATGGCAGCAGGAGGAAGAGCCAAGTAAAGCGGGGTAAAGTCCCTTTAAAACCATTCAGATCTTGTGAGAACTCATTCACTATCATGAAAACAGAAGTATGGGGGTAAGCACTTCCATGATTCAATTACCTTCCACTGGGTTCCTCCCCTGACACATGGGGACTATGAGAATTGCAATTCAAGATGAGATTCGGGTGGGGACACAGCTGAACCATATCAGGTGGAATCTATGACTCTTTTAACTCTGTATCCTTACTGCAATAGCTAGTATATATCAGATTTTTATTAAATGTTTGCCTAATAAGTGAATGAATAAAATTTTCAGACTTTTTGCTCATGCTTTTCTTTGTTTAAATAATCATATTATTTAAGTGGTTTAAAATTTTTGGAGGTTTTCTGGGTGTCTTAGTATGTGCAGGCTGCTATAACAAAATAAACTGGGTGGCTTATAAACAATAGAAATTAGTTTCTCATGGTTTTAGAAGCTGGGAAGTCTAAGATCAAGGTGTCAACAGATTCAGTGTCTGGTAAGGGCTTTCTAATTCATAGACAGCACCTTCTAGCTATGTCCTCAAATGGCGAAAGGAACAAAGCAGCTCTCTGAGGCCTTTTATATTTACTTAATACAAATTATTTATTTGAATGGAACTATTTCTTTTTTAAAAAAACAATTTTATTGTGCACATTTAAGTCATACAACATGATGTTGTAGGATACATATATAGTAAGATGGTTACTACAGGGAACAGATGAATGTATCAACATATTCATCATCTCAGTTACCCATTTTGCTTTTCTGGGGCCTCTTTTATAAAGGCACTAATTCCATTGATGAGGGTGCTCTGCACTAAGGACCTAGTCATCTCCCAAAGGCTCCAGCTCCTAATACCATAACTTTGAGGATTAAGATATCAACATATGTATTCTAAGTGAAGTAACACAGGAATGGAAAACCAAACATCGCATGTTCTCACTGATATGTGGGAGTCAAGCTATGAGGATGCAAAGTCATAAGAATGATACAATGGACATTGGAAACTTGGGAGGAAGAGTGGGAGAGGGACGAAGCATACAAGACTACAAATAAAGTGCAGTGTGTACTGCTTGTGTGATGGGTGCACCAAAATCTCACAAATCACCACTAAAGAACTTACTCCTGTAACCAAATACCATCTGTACCCCAATGTCTTATGGAAAATTTTTTTTAAATATCTAAACATAGAAAAGGTAAAATAAAATAAAATAAAATAAAATAAAGATTTCACATATGTATTTTGGGAAGACAAAATATTCAGATCATAGCAATGAGTCTAGAGAGGCAGTAATGTCTAAGTGTCAGAAAGATAATAACAGGACGCACCGCACTGGGATCTAAACAGTGTGACCTTCGTGCTGTGCTCTGAGCACTTTTAAATATGTTGTACCTTGTATTTCTCAGTACAACTCTAAGATGTAGGGGCATTAACATTTCCAAATAATAAATAAGGAAATATAGCTAACGGACTTGGAGGCATTCAGTTCATAAGGGCAGCAAACATGAATGAGAAGGGTGAAATGCATTGGTTGGAACCCCAAATGGTGCAGCTCTGCCACTTACCAGTTAAGCGATTGATATGGATTGTCTGCGTCCCCAGCCAAATCTCATTTTATAGTTTCTGTAATCCCCACGTGCGATGTGAGGGACCAAGTGGAAGGTAATTGAATCACGGAGGCGGTTTCCCCCATGCCGTTCTTGTGATAGTAAGTTCCCATAAGATCTGATGGATATATAAGGGTCTTCCCCCTTCACTCAGTTCTCATTCTTCTCTTTACTGCCACCATGTGAATAAGGACGTGTTTGCTTTTTCCTTCTGCCCTGATGTAAATTTTCTGAGGCCTCTACAGCTCTTTGGAGCTGTGAGTCAATTAAACCTCTTTCGTTTATGATTTACCCAGTCTCAGGCAGTTCTTTATAGCAGCATAAAAATGGACTAGTACAGTGACCTTGGCCAAGTTATTGAAACACACTCTTGTTTTTTGGGTTGCCTTATATGTGATGTAGACATAATGCCAGTATTTCACATATACACCATGGAATACTATATGTATTCCATGCAGCCATAAAAAGAATGAGTTAACGTCCTTTGCAGGGACATGGATGAAGCTGGGAGCCATCATTCTCAGCAAACCAACACAGGAACAGAAAACCAAACACCACATGTTCTCACTCATTGGGAGCTGAACAATGAGAACACATGGACACAGGGAGGAGAACATCACACACCACACACCGGGGCCTGTCGAGGAGTGGGGGGCAAGGGGAGAGAGAGCATTAAGACAAATATCTGATGCATGCGGGGCTTAAAACCTAGATGATGGGTTGATAGGTGCAGCAAATGTATACCTGTGTAACAAACCTGCACATTCTGCACATGTATCCCAGAACTTAAAGTAAAATTAAAAAAAAAAAGAAAGAAAGAATGCTAGTATTCTCTTGTAGGGCTGTTTTGAGGATTAACTAAAGAAGTGATTATATTGTCTCCCTGTGTTCTGTAACGTATTCTGTCTGTTGAGCTCCCCAGTGGCCCCACAACTTGATCTTTGGGTCCTACTGAGCCTATCCTCTTCGAGCCATGCCCAAATCTTTAGCATTTGCTCACTTCTTCCTCGACATGGTCAAACTCCAAAACTCTCTTCCCTTATGTCCCTTTCACACAAAGAACATTCATTGAAACACAATTAAAACAAATTAATAGCAATGTTGAATAAAGCTCAGAGTGTGATTCTCCTGAATTTTTCTGTTAGTTTGTGATTGGTTTGTTTTACCATCTATCTGTGCAACGAAGAAATGCATTCATGATGGTAGATGTGCAGACACCATGGTTTTTTTCCTAAGGAGGAGCAGGGGCCTTCCTAGTTTCACAGATTACACCTGGTAGATAATCACCAACTCTGTATTTGGGTGAGATCGGCCCGTTTAAGCAACTAATTGCAACATGGGGTGATGGGAGCCTTAAGCCAAGGGCAGGTGTTCTCAATATGGGCTGCAAAATAGAATCACCTGGGAAGCGTTTAAAAGGCTTGACTCTCAGACCGTACTGTAGACCAATTAAATGAGCGTTTTTTGAGTTAAGAACCAGACAGGTATTTTTTTAACTGCCTACATTATTTCAATATAATCTGGGCAGTTAGTACAAATATATTTCAATATTCAGTCAAGATTGAAAACCAGTGGCTGCCATAAGACTTTGTGGCCACAACAGTTAAACTCATCTAATCAGTTTTCCTCTGGCTCCTTCACAAAACAGTTGGTTCACCTGGAAACTTGTGCTCGCCTATAATAAATCATTTGCATTGCCTTGAAGATGATTTTCATTTTGCAGAAATTACCACTAATTGAAAGACAAATACACACCAAATTCTGATATTTAATGTTACTATTTCAATATATGTTTCTCATTTCTAAAATCAACTGGTAGGAAGTCAAACTAACATACTTGATAACAGAAAATAATTTCTAATTCGATGCTTGAAATTTAAGGGATTTCGGGTAAGGAGTCCTCACATGTTAGATGGTGTCGTCATCTACTGGCACAATGTGGTATTGCAGCTCATTCCTGAGATGCTGAGGACTCCGAGAGAGTAAGAGTGCTTCTGCCCAGAAGCGGTTTATCATTCACTTCAGCGAAACATAATTTTTCTGGGTCCAATACGTGGATTCCGCTATCCTCCAAGGAATCTTGGTTCTTACATAAAGACTAGTACTAGTGACCAAAATCTGATGCTGTCTCTGAATATCAGAGTTAGTGTTCAATCAAATTGTGTTCTGATGCAGAAAAAAATATTTGTGGAGAATAGAAATACAGAAAAAAAATGTTTTGGAGGAAACTTTAAAAGAATTCTGTGGATTAAACTAAAATTTCAAAGACTTATAAATCCAGAATATTAGGAGCCTTCCCCGCTCCTGATTTATTTTAATTGTACTGAATAATGCTTGTGAGTGTTATAATCAGCCTATCTGGAGGAACCCTATAACAAACCCTGAGATTTATCTTCCCAATATCTATTAGCCTCTTCCCCTTTACTAACAGCATTCAAATTTTGTTCCAAGAAAAATTGTCCCAAGCTACAAAACTCAACTAGCACCCCATGCCCTTCAGTTACGGGCCTCTGCATGAAACAGTTCTCATCAATGGAATGTCGATAACAACAGTCTGCTGGGAATTTCTGGGGAAAAGTTTTGCTTCCTGATAAACATGCAATTCTTCTTCATACTTTCTACCAGTAACGTGGGCAAATGTAAAATAGGCATCCTGTGGCCATTAGAACAGAAGCTACATGCTAAAGACAGGAAGGTAGGGAGGCAGATGGAGCCTGGAACAGCAATGGCTTCATGGACTTACTACCCTAGCTCTGGACTCTCTGTCTGCCTAAAGAAAGCCATTATAGACTGAATTTTGTCCCCACAAAATTTATGTGGAGTCTTAACCCCTCATGTGACTGAAGATAGGTCCTTTTGGAAGTATTTAAGGTTAAATGGGTCATAGGGGTGGGACCTAATCTGATCAGACTGGTGGTCTTAGAAGAAGAAAAAGAGATCTGAGGAACTGAAAAGAGCAGCGCCTTAATCTTAGACTCCCTAGCCTCCAGAACGGTGGGAAATAAATTTCTGTTGTGTAAGTCACCCAGTCTAGAGTATTTAGTTACAGCAGCCTACACAGACTAAAAAAAACCTCATCTGGTTAAGCCACTGTAGTGGGTTTTCTACTGCTTGCCTGCACCCTCTCCTCTGATGCAAAATGGGGTACCTGAAAGTGGGATATTGCAAGTAAAAGGAATAAAAATGTGAAATCTCCAGGAATACAAGGTAGAGAAGTAGACAGGTCTCACCCATTACAAGCTGCGAAGTTGATGACCTTTTTAATGTGGTTATTAAATATTTATATTTTTGTGCTTATTGTAGCTGCAGCATCAAGGGAAGTAATAGAAAAATTTAAAATGTGCGTGTTTCTTATTGCTGAGTTTTGCAAAGTCCTACTTGAAAGAAATGAATTCATACTAAAGCTAGTCATTCTGACAGCTAAGAGAGCAGGTGTGGGCCTGTGGCCTGCAATCTAAGATGTCTGAGAAGCCTATATGATAAGAGTCTACCAGCTTTGTGAAGAAAACACATTGCTTTCCTACCTTAAACTGAAGCCTTTCACGTCAGAGCTGAAGCAGCAGCCCTAGCAGGGGCTGGTATTGGGTTCCCAGCTCTCTCTTCCAGGTCTCTGCTGGACAAAAGAGGCACACCTGCTGGTAAATAGAGATTAAAGGGTGTTGCTTTTCCTCCAAATGTGTGATTTCACATTGCTGATGACAGAAGGTAAAAGGAAAGACTATGTGTGAAAAATGAAGACCTGTGACCAGGAAACAATATTTCTCAGACATTAATATTATGAGTCCATACTATCTTTGGCTATGGTTTCTCACATGTGGCATTGAATAGACTGAAAGGCTACAAAATTTCAGAAAGAACTGTATTTCTAAAGAAATATCAGGTCAGTAGAGGCAGAAGGAGGAGGTAGGGTTGCACACACCAGGGTGGGCAGCAGTTCACTCCTCAGTGCCCATGGGCTTTGGTCCATGCCTCTCCCTGGAAAGGCAGGAAGGCTTTGACATGGAGAGGGAGCTGCTGCCGCCATAGTTCTGAGCTTGAGGTTGCTAGGACTTATCTCAGACTTGTGTACTGAGGAAACTCAGATATTGGCCTCAGCTCCTAGGCTGCATTTAGCAGATCGACCTATGAGAACTTCTATACTGAGACAAAGGAAAGGATCCATCAGAAAGTAACATCTATTATCTTGAGCTTGGCAGCAAGGAAGAGGACAGGTATTGGAAACCCTGCTCTCTAAAAAGCTGACCGAAAAGTGACAAAAAAGCTGAAGATGGGTGGTGGAGACAGGTATAACATTCTAGCCCCTCAATCTAGAAATATTAGTAAGAACCAAAAGCAACTTAATAGAAGACCAAGGATCAGAATTCCCAGAAGATGGTTCATAAGAAAAAAGAAAGAGGATGTGGGTGGAATTAATTAGCAGCTGCATAACAGGTCATGCAAAATGGGGGGAAGAATAAAAATTTCCCAAATAATCAAAATTGGAGCTCTAGCTTATCAGGTCCCAGCTTACTTTTTTTTTTTTTTTTTTTTTGAGACAGGGTCTCACACTATCGCCCACACTGGAGTGCACTGGTGCCAACTCGGCTCACTTCAACCTCCGCCTCTCAGGTTCAAGAGATTCTCCTGCCTCAGCCTCCTGAGTAGCTGGGACTACAAGTGCCTGCCACCATGCCTGGACACTTTTGGTATTTTTAATAGACATGGTTTCACCATATTGGCCAGCCTGGTCTTGAACTCCTGACCTGAAGCGGTCCGCCTGCTTTGGCGTCTCAAAGTGCTGGGATTACAGGTATGAGCCACCGCGCCTGGGCCCCAGCTTACTTTTTAAATCTCAAGCGAATCACAACTATACTGGAGCCAAATTGATTGAGCTGCCATCACGAAGAGTTCTTCCCAAACTATCCTTCCACTGGGTTCCTGTTTCCTTTATTCCTTCAGATAAGGAAATAATGATATTTCAAATTAAAACCTTACTTAAAGTACAGGTATAAAATAAGATAAAGTACTGATGTTTAAATTTAGTTGTGTTGCTGGGCGCGGTGGCTCACACTTATAATCCCAGCACTGTGGGAGGCCGAGGTGGGCGGATCACCTGAGGTCGGCAGTTTGAGACCAGCCTAACCAACACGGAGAAATCCCATCTCTGTTAAAAGTACAAAATTAGCCGGGCGTGGTGGTGCATACGTGTAATCCTAGCTACTCGGGAGGCTGAGGCAGGAGAATTGCTTGAATCCGGGAGGTGGAGTTTGCGATGAGCCGAGATCGTGCCATTGCACTCCAGCCTGGGCAACAGGAGTGAAACTCCATCAAAAAAAAAAAAAAATTAGTTGTGTTTACAGATAATTGTCAGTTGGTCTGAAACAAATTCACCAGGGAATTAATCTATTAGTGTAGAATTGCTAATTAATGTAAAACATATAATTAGACTTCACCTCATTTGTTTTATGTGCATTGTGATGTAATGTAGCATCAGTGCAACTTAAAGTAATTAAATTAATAATTGTACTTGATATTAAGTGTTCTCAACTGAGTAACTTTTAAGTGAAACCATTCAAGTTTAGATGTGGGGAGTGGTAAAGGAATCAACTTGTTCTTTTGCTTGTTCGGGGAAAATGGTGATTTAAGTTTATCATTCATGGATCAGTAGATTTTGAAAGTTAGTGAATCAGATTATAAACATTTATCTAAAACATACAAGGACTGAGGACTAGGTAAACAACTGAAAGTTTAGTCTCTAGAAACACCCAAACTAGGAATAAGCCAACAACCAGATGCACTGCTAAAGGAAAACGTGAATGTTTTTAATAGTTGCATTTCAGTCAATTGTACAGTGGTGAAGGTGGAAAGGGCACTTGGGACTCGTTAGAATGAGGCATAGTATACTCCAATGGCCCTGTTTCTTAAATGTAGTCAGTAAGGGTCTGACAACAATATACCAAAACCATCTTTTATATAAACAGTATTTAATGGTCACTCAATAGCTTTCAAAATATATTTTTGTCTTACAGCACTGCACAACCTATTCTGAAAGTGATCTGGAGTCATCATTCCTGCAAAACATGCTTTGGAGAGAGGAAACTTGCTTGGGGCAGTTCCATAATATGAAAGTCGTAAGTACCTAGGGAAGAAAGAGGCATGTAAATACGTGTAATAAACTGATGCATGTGTAAAATTCTCTTGGCCTTTATCCTACAGAAATTAAATATTTAATATGAATTTTCTGAATGTAAGATTATGGACCGTTTTTTATACTATGGCCTAATTTTAAAGGCCCAAAATAATATTTTTTTAAGTTTGCCCTTGTGCTGAACTACCAGTGTATGTATGTTATACTTGATTTGGTTGTAAACTATATTTCAAAGTAAACCCTAGTGTAATAAGCTTTATAACCAAAAAGGTTTAGGCTGCTGAACCATTGTTTTTAAGAGATATAAAATGCAGCAGGGGACTATTCTTTTTCCTTCTCTAAGCCCAGAGAAGAACTACTAAGTGGTACCTCCAACCTCAAATATTTGTTTTGGCTTTTATCAAGACTTGCAACCTATGATACAAAGATAGTTTATATACGGTGCCAGTGGTGTTTGTTTTTTATTTGGTCAAGAGTAAGGGTAACCCAGGGGGCCACTTATGCAAAAGATATAAACTCTTGCATAATACATTGATAACATGTTTTACCAATCTCAAGGGTAAATGCTAAATATAAGTTAACCAAATAGCAAGTTAAAAGAAAAAAGGTGTGAGGGTCAATTTAATATTTCCAATTGTTAATGTTCTGTTTTCCAATTTTTCATCTTTTGTGATGTTTATGAGCAGACGGCTAAGTTGTATTTCTCCGAATACATTCAGATAAAATAATATTGCCCAAGTAAAATATTAATATCCTAAAGACAAGTTTATATGATACTTAATGTACATAACATGAATTTGAAGCATAAAATTAAAATAATAAAATTGTTTTACCCCCCAAAAAAAGAAATATCCAACATCAAATGATTAATCAATTAATAAAGAAATAACGGAGCCCCCACATTTCACCCACAGAAATGAGTTGTGGAAGCTGTGCAGTCCTGAAAGGTTATCCTCTCCGTGTCTCTTTTTGAGTGGCCACAGAGAGTAATAAACAACAGGACCCTAGCAAATTTGGCTAGCCAAGAAATTTATTTCACTGCTAGAGTAGGGAGTCCTTATTGTTCCTGCCTGGCAATAATTGGTTGATATGTGCTAATGTGGGCCAGTGCCTGCTATGTTTCTTGTTCTTCCTTTTTTCAAACAAAGACTTATAACCTCCCTTTAACCTTATTGCTCGACAGATAATGAGGAGCCACTTCGAGACCTGATGAAAATCAGAAAGCACATTACAAAAGATCCTATCTTTGAAGTGAATGAAATAACTGGATGAGACAATGGTGTGGTATTTCTCAGGGAGAAGCTGGAGAAGGTAGTCTATTTATGAGAGGAAGAGTGTGTATGAATATTACAAAGCCAAAGGGGTAGAATGTGGTAGAAGCCACTAGTTTTTTACCCAATAAACTTTCTCCTTTTATTTCTTATTAATGGAATCCCAATTTTGTTAAAATCAGCAATGTGCTCAAGAGCTGGGGATATGGTGACTGATCAGTTTTCCCTTTTTATGTTAACTGCAAGATGGCTTAGAACTAAGTTTGGAGCTCGTCTTTAGCCAGGAAGTCTCTGTGATGTGCAGTATTGTAACAGCCCCATTCCTAGTTACAGCTTATCTTTCCACTCATGATTTCCATTTTTCTTTTTCACCTATTTTCATAAATACTATTTTGCTATACTTACTTATCCCATCAAACCACCTTAAAACATTTAAAAATCAACCATGTAGAAAGAGCAGCAAGGAAAGCCAACAGAAATAAAGAGAAGGAGGAGAGAAAGAGAAAGAGAAGGAAGGAAGGAAGGAAAGAAAGAAGGAAGGAAGGAAAAGAAAAGAAAAGAAAAAGAAAGGAAGGAAAGAAAGAATGAAAATAATGGGAGAAAGAGAGGAAGAAAATAGAGAAGAGAGGAAGAAATGAAAAAGAAAGAAAGAAAACGAAAGAGAAAGAAGGAAAGAAAGGAGGAAGGAAGGAAGGGAAAGAGAGAAAGAAAAAGGGTGACATAAAAAGGGAAGAAGGAAAGAAAGGGAAAGCAAAGGACGTAAAACCTACAGTTTGAAACTTGCAGGTCTAAACCTACAAAAGGAAGATAAATGTCATTACTACTGATGACTTAAGAATTACACAACATGATTTGTAGAGAAAGGCTAATAAAAGATGTAAGGCATTACAAAGGAATACAAAGATAAAATTAATTGTCTGAAGTATGTGCTTGTAGTTCCAAGCTTTTGAAATATTCTTTCTCTCAGTTTCTGGTGGCATGTAGGAAATACTTTGATGCATGATAGCCTGTAAGCACACCATCAGGCAAGCTATTCCAGGGACAACTCCCCCCACCCACAGTGTCACTTGCCAGGTAACCTGATGAGCAGCTGTGGTTCATGCCATTCTCCTGCTTCAGCCTCCCAAGTAGCTGGGACTACAGGTGCCAGCCACCACGCCCAGCTAATTTTTTGTATTTTTAGTAGAGACAGGGTTTCACCGTGTTAGCCAGGATGGTCTCGATCTCCCGACCTCGTGATCCGCCCGCCTCGGCTTCCCAAAGTGCTGGTATTACAGGCGTGAGCCACCGC
This sequence comes from Homo sapiens, assembly GCF_000001405.40. Taxonomy (NCBI): domain Eukaryota; kingdom Metazoa; phylum Chordata; class Mammalia; order Primates; family Hominidae; genus Homo; species Homo sapiens. Next base: position 111,151,545 of record NC_000005.10, on the reverse strand, counting down.
GCCCGGCCCTAAGGTATTTCTTTATAGCAATATGAGAACAAACTAATACAACTACTAATACACACAACAACATAGATGAACCTGAAAACATTATGTTGAATGAAAAAAGCTAGACACAAAAAAACTACACACCATATAATGTTATGTACATGAAGTCCAAGAACAGCCAACAGTAATCTGCAGTTAAAAAAATCCACGCAGTGGTTGTTTCTGAGGTGAGTATGTGGAGGGTAGGGGAACTGACCAGAAAGGGGCAAAAGAGAACATACTGGGGTGATGGAAATGCTTTGATAGTTTCATGAATATTTACCATTGTCAAATTTTGTTGACCTGAACACTTAATATTACATTGTGATATTTGTAAATTAAACTTCAAGAAGAAAAGTTAGAAAGGAAAATAAAGGGCTATCACAGATGTGGGTGACAGACTTGCCAACACTTTCCCTAAGTTAAGGATCCTGAAGTTTCAATTACCTTCTTGAAAACTGAGCAGACTGTAGCCAAATAATCCATTTCTGGCTGGCTGCAATTTTTTTCCATTGGAAGTAATGTGAAGAATAGGTCTCAGGAAGTCATTTTCCAAAGAATTCAATATTCCTGAATATAGTAAGGAGTGTTGGGCACTATAGGAGATCAAAGCCAGTAATTAATGAGTCTTGCTCTCCATTAGCCAGGCTCTTTGATACACTTCCAAAACGAACAGGTCTAGAAGGCAATTGGATGCGAATTTTTCACAGTCTTTTCTATGAAGGTAACGTGTCAGCAAAAGGGTTCTCCAGTTAATGAGAAAATTAATAGGACATTTTATTTATCTGTGCAAGTACAGACCTTACCCCAGTGAGAAGAAGAAGAGCCTGCCAGTACTAAATAACCCCAGATGGGATACTCCAGTGTTTATATGATGTTCAAAAATAGTCTTGTTTATTATTAATGATACTGTACCAGTTTCCTTAAGTGGAATGGGCTTTGGAGTCAGAAAGTCTGTCTACCAATAACTAGATAGACATCTTGGCCAAACCACCTTCAAACTACTTCACTTCTCTGAAGTAATTGGAGAATTCAATGAGATAATTTTTTTGGAATGACCAAATGAGATCAAATAAATGTAAATTGTGAGATAAGATTATTTCTTAACTTGTTCTTAGAGATCTGCTTGCCTAACACATATGTGGAAGGACAATTTTGATTTCCTTTTAAGGTAAAGACTTCCTCAGAAACATAATGGAGTTGTCAGTAAATTATTTTACCATTCTATCAGGTGACTTGCTTCTCTAATATCATAACTATGTAGAAAATATCAAAATCTTTGCAAGCATTAGGGAAGAATAAGAAATTCAAACATTTGAATGATTTTTAAGTACTGCTAAATTATTGTTTCCCATTAGAAGTGTATGACTCTTCATCGAATGGTAGTACTGGGATATGGTACTTTTGCTGGCGTAGGAGAAGGGTAGAGTCAAGGTAGGAAGTGGTTGCTTACTGCATGGGTCCTCAGCATTACAGCAAGGATGGAGAAATATATCATCACACTAGTCAGCTGTCAGAGGAGGAAGTTGGGCATGTTAGCAGATTTGAGATACCTTTAAAGTTATAAAGTCCTATTCATTTTCTAATAGCTCCTGTCAAGGCTTTTATACATGTGAGAGGTTGAGGTCTCTGATATAATATGATTATCCTACCTTCCTCCATTCTGATAACAATCAATGAAACCCATGAACATTGCATATGCAGTACCATGGATTAATTAAAAACTGAAGTAATGCTTAAAGCTACTGCATCTATACACAGACAAGAGCTCCCCTGGACTTCATCCATTTGGCTAATTCTGATGCTGGGCTTTTTAAAGCAGACAATATATGTGAATTTTTATCATTGCATAAATTGAGAGCAGTGACTCTCAGAATGGATCAGTGTTGAGGGTATTTGTGTTCCATCTGAGTGTCACCAAAGGGCATCCTCTGCATAGGAAGCTTCCAATAATCAAGTGGACAAGATGACACATTTTGTAGATATCAGTAGGCCTCTTTCCCTAGACACCCTGGTGCTTGCATGAAATGTCCATATACAAAATAGGTATGGTGGCAATGATGAAGGTAATGCATAGCCTTTTTTAAAAAAAGTGCATAAGTTGGTCTGTCTACTGCTGAGTGCATTTCCTATGCACAAGACAGACTAATGCTGAACCCCTGATATTCCAGCCCTTCTTCACTGTTTTGTGGTGGGCAGGTCTATGCAAACCTACTGTAAAGTGTGAGGAAGCTGAGAGACCAAAGAAAGGGGCTGACAAATACAGTTTCTCAGAAAGAAGCATTTGTCTAGGTGCAGTGGGTCATGCCTGCCATCCTAGCACTTTGGAAGGCAGAGCTGAGCGGATCACCCAAGCCCAGGAGTTCAAGACCAACCTGGGAAACATGGCAAAACCCTGTCTCTACAAAAATACAAAAAATTAGCTGGGGATCCTTGTGCATGCCTGTGGTCCTAGCTACTCAGGAGGCTGAGGTGGGAGGGTCACCTGAGCCTGGGAGGTCGCAGCTGCAGAGAGCCATTAACCTGCCACTGCACTCCAGCCTGGGTGACAGAATAAGACCCTGTCTCAAAAAGAAAAAAAAAAAGAAAGAAAGAAAGGAAAGAAAGAAAGAAAGAGAGAGAGAAGGAAGGAAAGGAAGACATTTAATAGGGACTTAGGAACAGAAGACATGTCTGTGTCTTGGGAAGCAGCAAGACAAGCTGGTAGATCCCCATGCATTGCCCACCAGACCTAGGGGTTTATATACCACAGGGAAGGAATGTGTCCTACACATTCAGAAGGCATGTGTAGGACAATTCAAGTATGATAACATCAAGGTTGTTTGACATAGGTGCAGGATTTATGGTAATTACCTGCTCTTACACAAGGAACAATAGATAACTGGAAATCTTAGAAACCTCACTGTAACAGGGGTTGATCGAAGCCAACATAGCAGATTAGCTTTCAAGTTGGAGTTGCTTCAGCCTCCACACTGAGAGAACCAGCCAGCCACCTGATGGCAGGTTGATTACACTGGACCTTTGTTATCACAAGTGAGGACAGCAATTTGTCCTCACTAGAATAGACTCATATTCTGGATATACATTTGTATTCCTTGCCTTCAATATGTCTGTCAGCACCATTATGGATGAACTTATGAGTTGCTTTATTCATTGCCATGGTATACCCACAATATTGTTTCAAATCAAGAAACTCATGTCATGGCAGAAGTAGAGCATCAATGGGCTCACCCCCATGGATTTCACTGGTCTTACCAAGAACTTGATACTACAGAAGGAAGTGACCTGATATAACGGTGGAAGAGCTTACTGAAGACTCAGTTATGAGGCCAGTTGAGAGATAATATTCTGCAAGGATGGGTATTATTTTACAAAGGGCAGTGTATGCTTTGAATCAACAACCAATACTTGATGCTGTTTCTCCCATAGACATAATGTGTGAATCTGAGAATCAGGTGGTAGAACCAGGAGAGATTCCTTTCACTATTACATTTAATCACCCTCTCTCAAAATTCTTGTTTCCCTTCTTCTCAACTTTGAGCTCTTTGAGTTTGGACATCTTGGTCACTAAGGGAGGAATGCTTCTACCAGGGAAAAATCAAAGATTCCTTTGACTTGGAAATTGAGACTCTACTTATCTTTCAGGCTCCTTGTGCCATGGATTCAACAGGCAAAAGGAGACAAATACGTTATTCTATTATCTGGTTGATTTCTTCTGATTACCAAGGGGAAAAGTATAGCTGCTATTTTCCTAGGGCTAGGGAAGACAGGAAATCAGGGGGTTCTCTGGAATGTCCTGTCGGACTCCACTGATAAGAGATTGTTGAAGGCTGACTGCAAGGCTGGAGCAGGAAGAGACATTCTCTTTCTTCTTTCCTTCCTGTTCCTGTCAGCAGGCCCCCAACAACACTGCACTGATCCAGAAAGAGCAATTTATTCCAGAAGCAATGGTTTATTCCAGTTCACAGTTATTCTAGACTACTAGAACCTCATAGCCTCATAGCATCCACTCGGAGGTATCAAGACCAGTTTACCAATGCCACCTCCTCAGAGATCTGGATTCTTTCTCCATGGTGCACCTCCTCCAAGTTTCTCGGGCACAAATATCAGCCAGGCAGCACAACTCTTCTTAGGGTTCTAAATACCAGATCCATGGGCCATCACTTGCATTTGGACAGGACGCTTGTTTTAGAGGTCCACTGTGTCTAACGGGGGTGCCTGCTCCTCAAGGCCTCTTCTCCAGGCTTCTGCATTCTGGTAATGCCGACCTCTCCTTCTTGTTTCTCTGACCCTACAGGAGGATGGTCTCTAATATATCAAAATTTAGAAGCTTCGAGAAGAGGCCTTGAGGAGAAGCCTGACTAAATCACTTGTCAGCAGTTGCACCTTTAACATACACTGTACATATCTAAGGAAGCATAAAGCAATGAACAGCATTTACTAAAGTATGTTCCCATCAAAACCTTTCAGGTATGAAGTCTTTACCTTGAATCAGACCTCATGTTTTATGGTTTTCACACTTTCTATGTCTAATTTTCATTGTTGGGAAGAAAAGTCATGAGTTAAATTAGGTAAAAATGCATCTTACTGAGTTTAAACTAAACAGTATTTTTAGAAATAAGCAGTTAATCTGAGGATAAAGTCTTACACAAAACAAATAAACAGAGAAAAACCCCCAAAAGTCAAGGACTGATAACATAGATCAACTGATGTTGACAAGAACTGATGTCCACAAGAGCAAAATGGAAAGACAATCTCTGGTTTTTTGTGTGTCACAGATGTGAAATATAGTTGGCCTGCAGTGGGAAGAATACCAAGAATAGGTAAGGATATCACCAAGGAAGGAGAGTACAGTTATCAAGAAAGACTTGAGATACCAGACCATCCTACACAGTACAATGAATGGCATATGAAGAAGTGGATGTACAGAGCTAACTGGGACATCGCATGGTACTGATCACTACCAGGAAGACATCGGATAGGAACCTGGGTGAAATCAGAAGGAACAAAAAGAGAGAGAATTATAATTGTGAGAAATACAATCAGTCTTGAATGTCTGACGACTCTGTGTGCATTGCAAACCTAATTTTCTATTGGTTCTTTCTGGAAAAAGACAAAGGCTCACTCAGAGGGACCTCTGTGACTTGGCCAGGCATCGGTTTCATATACTAACCTATTTCTCAGATTGCTGCCCTGCCCAGGAGGGTTGGACCTCTCAGAGTTGAGAAAAGAAGAGAGTCACTGCTCATAAAAACCCTGTGGGGCAAGATTAGTTTCATCTCCTCTTTACTGAGGAGAAAACTGAGACTCAGATAAGCAAAAGCTGCCTAGCTGGCAGGTGACAGAGCTTTGCTTAGAAGCCAAGTGTCTCTGACTCCAAGGTCGTCTGATGTCATACCTTTCCAACTGTAAGTTCAAAGTGTAGGCAGTTTAGAATTTAGGCTACAATATAAATCCCTTATTAATATCTCTCTCTGTCTCTCTTTTTACTATAATTGGGAAACTCTAACTGTAAGCTTCTTTGGGAGCAAAAATTTTGTGATCTTGTGATACTGTCTCAGTATTTTTTTTCACCTAAACAACTCTACTCTATAACTCTCAAGTTTAGTATTTACTTAGAAGCAGGAGATGTGAAAATTTTGAGTGCCCTAAGTATGTCTGGAAATACCTCAATTTGATTTTCACAGTCCAGTGCTACTCAACAAACTATAACTGAGCACTTACTCTGTGCTAGAAACAGCATTTCTGCTTTCCAAGGACCTCTAAGGTAAGAGATAAATAAACAAATAGTTTTATAACAACATAACTTAATAAAAAATATAAAATTACTATGAGACTTATGTGTAGGATGTTTTGAGTACACCGAATAGGAACACTTAACCCATCCTGGGGTAAGGTTAGTGGTCAGAAGAGGTTCCCCATAAGAGAAAGAATTCAAGTCTTGATGTCTAGTGCAGAAGTAGGAAAAGTGCAATCTGGGGAGTGGGAACATCTATTTAGAAACCACCAAGTCACTTCAAACTCAACTACCCTCACTTCATCCTCAATTACCTCCTTGCATTTGCATGTGCACACCTCTCTCTTTCTCTCTTACACACACACACACACACACACAATTTCTTATCGTGGTGAATAACAATCACACAATCATCCATCCAGTACTACAAATAGAAACCCAGGAGTTGACTTTATTATCCACCTCTCAACTATCACCAAGTCTATTTCTACCTCCTAAATATCTTCTTAGTTGCATCCCACACATAATGATATATCATATTTCTATTACTATTTAGTTCAAACTATTTTCTATATTGTGTCTACTGTTAAATCCATCCAATGAATGTTTTAATTTTTAAATTTATAATTGACACATAATAACTGTATGTTTATGTAGTACAACCTGATATTTTAATGCATATATGCATAGTATAAAGATTAAATTGGGGTAATTATCATATTAACCACCTCAAATATTTATCATTTCTTTGTGGTGGCAATGTTCAAAAATCTTCTAGCGATCTTGTAATATGCACTGTATTGTTATTTGGTACAGTCACTAATGCTGGTGAAGATGCAGAGAAAAGGGGATTTTTATACATCATTGGTGAGAATATAAATTGGTACAGTTATTATGGAAAACAGTATAAAGATTTCACAAAAAATTAAAAATAGAAGTACCATCTCCAGCAATCCCATTACTGGATACATATCCAAAGGAAATGAAATCAGTATGTTGAAGAGACATTTGCACTGCCTGTTTATTGCAGCATTACTCACAATAGCCAAGATTAGGAAATCAACTTAAATGCTCATCTGCACATTAGTGGATAAAAAAAATGTGGCATATATACATACAGTGGAATACTATTCAGCTATAAAACAGAATGAAATCCTGTCATTTGTGGCAACATAGATAAACCGAGAGGGCATAAATTCAGACAAGCCAGGGAGAGAAAGAGAAACTGCATGAACTGACTCATATGTGGAATCTAAACTTGATTTCACAGAAGTAGAAAGTAGAATAGTGGCCACCAGAGGCTGGGAGGAAAGGGGAAAGGGAGGACTTGGAAGAGGTTGGTCAATGAATTTACTAACTTAGATATTTAATAAAATATCTATATTTTATTTTTCAGTTCTAGAATATTATTTTAGTAATTGTCAGGAAATTATAATAGCTCTGTTAAAATTCTCCATCTTTTCATCCAGTTTGTTCATATTTTCTTCAACTTCTAATAGTTTCAATTTATCTCTGGTTTCAAATGTCTTCAGTGCAAGATCAGTCCTGTATGTATTACAAGTCCCTCCCTTTGGCAAGCCTTTGGGATCTCAGCACAATGAGTTGCCAAGAACTCCCTCTATCTGGGAGGGACTTACTATCCAGCCTTCAGATTACTGGGCTACCACATCCTCTCACACAAGTCTCCCGAGGGAGAATCGGTGGGCGGGAGAACTTGGCCTTGAAACTCCTCCAGATTCCAGTTGGTCTCACTAACCCACACACAGACATTTAAAACTCCACTGACTGCACCTTATGCAGGAAGAGTCTCCCTGCTTGAATCAGGCCCAATCCTCACCAGCCCACGCCTGACTCAGTAGTTGCCCCTAGCGAAGGTAATGCCTACTGATTTTCATTCTCTAGGAAGCACTTGTCTCCCTGGAATAGGGTTCCTTTGGACTTCTTCCTATCCACAACATTTTGATGGCTTAAAAAACATGTATGTTATTATATTATACTTTATTTTTTAATTGTTATAACTAAAACTGCAAGCCCCTTGTTATATGATCAGTAGTATGTTGTGAAATGCTACAGTCGAATCCATAAATAGCCCTTGAATACATCCAGTTTTCTCTGTCTCTGTTCTACCACCTGATCCAAGACACCATCATCTTCCCCAAATTCCTCATTGGTCTCCCTACTTTTATTCTCATTTCACTAGTCTTTAATCTGTTCTTCATTCTGCAATCATTGAACTCTTTAAAATGCGGACCTAATGATAGCACCCTCTTGATGAACACTTTTCAATATCTTTACTCGGAGGATAAAGATAAAAATCCTTAAAGCGTGATTTTTGGATGATAATGATGTGTCAGTGTAGGTTCATCAGCTATAACAAATTTACCACCTTGGTGGGGGTATTGATAACGGGGGAGGTTGTGCTTGTTTGAGGGGAGGGGGTGTATGAGAAATCTCTGTACCTTCCTCTCAATTTTGCTGTGAATCTAAAACTGCTCTAAAAATAAAGTCCATTAGAAATATATACATATATACAATTTGTCCATAAATAACAATCTTTACAGGCTATTCATCCCGACAGATGAGGTGATGAAAAGACTGACTCATCAATACTTTCCTCAGACATCCTAGACTAGGCCTGAGATTGGCCTTAATTCTTCTTGCTGAATGAGTATGGGATCAATAGAGGGCCCTCCAACCTCAAGGTCGCCACAGCATCAAAGCATCCCAGAATCTAACTTAACTTTCCATTGTTTTAACAATTATTTTATTAGGGACTTTACTCATAAGTGACAATCAGTAGAGTTGAGACCAGGGGTCGAGAGCAGTTGAGACCACCCGGTGCCAGCCCTTAAGTCGGGAGAGGCCTGGAATTCGGGCTGCTGTTTAGTAAGCTTATAGAAAAGAGTAGGGTCACTCTCACAACTGTCACCTTCTTTTCTTTTCTTTTTTTTTTTAGACAGAGTCTCGCTCTGTCCCCAGGCTGGAGTGCAGTGGCGCGATCTCGGCTCACTGCAACCTCCGCCTCCTGGGTTCAAGCGATTCTTGTGCCTCAGCCTTCCGAGTAACTGGGATTACAGGCATGTGCCACCACACCTAGCTAATTTTTGTATTTTTAGTAGAGACGGGGTTTCACCATGTTGGCCAGGATGATCTTGATCTCCTGACCTCGTAATCCTCCCACTTCAGCCTCCCAAAGTGCTGGGATTACAGGCATGAGCCATCGTGCCTGGACTCTTCTTTTTTTTAAATTTCATTTTTAAAATTTCAATTGTTATCTGAGTACAGGTCATTTTTGGTTAAGTTCTTTCGTGGTGATTTAGTGCACCTTTAGTGAGATTTTAGTGCACTTGTCACCCGAGCTGTGTATACTGTATCCAAAATATAGTATTTTATCCCTCTCTCCCCTACCATCTTTTTTTAGGCCTTTGCATCCTCATAGCTTAGCTCTCACTTGCAAGTGAGAACATACAATATTTAATTTTGCATTCCTGAGTTACTGCTTCACTTAGAATAATGGCCTCCAGCTCTATTCAAGTTGCTGCAAAAGACGTTTTTTATGGCTGAGTAGTATTTCATTATATATATATATATATATATATATATATATATATATATATGCCACATTTTATATATATATATGCCACATTTTTTTTACCCACTCGTAGTCGATGGGCACTTAGGTTGGTTCCATAGCTTTGCTGTGTGAATTGTGTTGGTATAAACATGCATGTGCATGTGTCTTTTTTGTATAATGACTTCTTTTCCTTTGGGTAGATACCCAGCAGTGGAATTGCTGGATCGAATGGTAGTTCTACTTCTAGTTCTTTAAGGAATCTCCATACTGTTTTCCATAGTGGTTGTACTAATTAACTTTCCCACCGGCAGTGTAACCTTGTTCCCTTTTCACAACATCCACACCAACAGCTATTGTTTTTGATTTTTAACTATGGCCCTTCTTCCAGGAGTAAGGTGGTAGGTATCTCATTGTGGTTTTGATTTTGCATTTCCTTGATGATTAATGATGTTGAGCATTTTTTCATGTGTTTGTTAGTTGTTTGTACATCTTCTTTTGAGAAATGTCTATTCATGTCCTTTGCCCACTTTTTGATGGGGTTGTTTTTTCTTGTCGATTTGTTTGAATTCTTTGTAGATTCTTCATACTAGTCCTTTGTTAGATACATAGCTTGCAAATATTTTCTCCTACTCTGTGGATTGTCTGTTTACTCTGCTGATTATTTCTTTTGCTGTGCAGAAGCTTTTTGTTTAATTAGGTTCCATTTATTTATTTTTGTTTTTGTTGCATTTGCTTTTGGAGTCTTAGCCATGCCTAAGCCAATGTCCACAAGAGTTTTTCTGATGTTACCTTCTAGAATTTTTATGGTTTCAGGTCTTAGATTTAAGTCTTTGATCCATCTTGAGTTGATTTTTGTATAAGGTGAGAGATGGGGATCTGGTTTTATTCTTCTACGTGTGGCTTGCCAGTTTTCTCATCACTCTTTATTGAATAGGGTGTCTTTTCCCCAATTTATGTTTTTGTATTCTATGTTGAAGATCAGTTGGCTGTAAGTATTTGGCTTTATTTCTGGGTTCTTTCTTCTGTTCTATTGGTCTACTTGCCTATTTTTATGTCACACTGTTTTGGTAACCATAGCCTTGTAGTATGATTTGAAGTCAGGTAATGTGATACCTCTAGATTTGTTCTTTTTGCTTAGTATTGCTTTGGTTATGTGGGCTCCTTTTTGGTTCCATATGAACTTTAGGATGTTTTTTCTAGTTCTGTGAAGACTTATGCTGGTATTTTGATAAGAATTGCATTGAATCTGTAGCTTGCTTTGGCAGTATGATCATTTTCACAATATTGATTCTTCCCATCCATGAGCATTGGATGTTTCCATTTGTTTGTCATCTATGATTTCTTTCAGCAGTGTTTTGTAGTTTTCCTTGTAGAAATGTTTCACCTCCATGGTTAAGTATATTTCTAAGGTTTGTTTGTTTGTTTTTTTGTTTTGCAGCTGTTGTAAAGGGGATTGAGTTCTTGATTTGATTCTCTGCTTGGTCGTTGTTGGTGTATAGCAGTGCAGTTAATTTGTGTACATTGAGTTTTTTATCCTGAGACTTTACTGAATTCATTTATCAGATCTAGGAGCTTTCTGGGTGAGCCTTTACAGTTTTCTAGATATACAATCACATCAGCAGCAAACAGTGACAGTTTGACTTCCTCTTTTCTTTCTTTCTTTTTCTTTTCTTTTTTTTTTTTTTTTTTGAGATGGAGTCTCACTCTATCACCAGGCTGGAGTACAGTGGCACAATCTTGGTTCACTGCAACCTCCGCCTCCTGGGTTCAAGCAATTCTCCTGCCTCAGCCTCCTGAGTAGCTGGGACTACAGGTGCATGCCACCACTCCCAGCTAATTTTTGTATTTTTAGTAGAGATGGGGTTTCACCATGTTGGCCAGGATTGTCTTGATCTCTGGACCTCATGATCCGCCTGCCTCAGCCTACCAAAGTGCTGGGATTATAGGCTGGAGCCCCTGCGCCTGGCCTGACTTCCTCTTTTCTAATTTGGATGTACTTTCTTTCTCTTGCCTGATTGCTCTGGCTAGGACTTCCAGTACTATGTTGAAAAGAAGTGATGAAAGTGGCATCCTTGTCTTGTTCCAGTTCTCAGAGGAATGCTTTCAAGTTTTCCCCATTCAGTATGATATTGGCTCTGGGTTTGTCATATATGGCTGTTATTACTTTGAGGTAAGTCCCTTCTATGCCTATTTTGTTGAGGGCTTTTATTGTAAAGGATACTGGATTTTATCAAATGCTTTTTCTCCATTTATTGAAATAATCATATGGTTTTTGTTTTTAATGCTGTTTATGTGATGTATCACATTTATTGACTTGTATATGTTAAACCATCCCTGCATCCCTGGGATGAAACCCATTTGGTCATGACGCATTATCTTTTTGGTGTGCTGTTGGATCCAGTTAGCTAGTATGTTGCTGAGGATTTTTGCCTCTATGCTCATCAAGGATATTGGTCTGTAGTTTTCTTTTTTTGTTATGGCCTTTGCTGTCTTTGGTATTAGGGTGATACTGGCTTCATAGAATGATTTAGGGAGGATTCCCTGTTTCTTTTGGAATAGTTTCAGTAGAATTGGTACCAATTCTTCTTTAAATGTCTGGTAGAATTCAGCCGTGAATGCATCTGGTCCTGGGCTCTTTTTTTTGGCGGGGGGACATTTTTAAAATTACTGATTCAGTTTTGCTGCCTGTTATTGGTCTGTTCATGGTTTCTATTTCTTCCTGATTTAATATAGAAGGGTTGTATATTACCAGAAATTTATCTATTTCCTCTAGATGTTCTAGTTTGTGCACGTAAAGGTGTTCATAGTAGCCTTGAATCATCTTTTGTATTTCTGTGGTATTGGTTTTAATATGTCACCTTTTTTCTTTTTTTTTTTTTTTTGGGAAATGATATTAATTTATTATTTCAATACACATTTAAATACCATCCTTACGTGTAGCTGTCTCATCCACTAATATATAAGGAAAGAATTTCTTCCTGGGGCAGTTTTTCATTAAAAACAGGTTCTCTTTGAATCAGATGGCTATGAATGTCAGTTTGCCATATTATCTCTACTTGTTTAATATTTTTCTTTTTTTTTTTTTGATTTATTTATGGTGTTTTTTTTTTTTTTTATTATACTCTAAGTTTTAGGGTACATGTGCACATTGTGCAGGTTAGTTACATATGTATACATGTGCCATGCTGGTGCGCTGCACCCACTAATGTGTCATCTAGCATTAGGTATATCTCCCAATGCTATCCCTCCCCCCTCCCCCGACCCCACCACAGTCCCCAGAGTGTGATGTTCCCCTTCCTGTGTCCATGTGATCTCATTGTTCAATTCCCACCTATGAGTGAGAATATGCGGTGTTTGGTTTTTTGTTCTTACGATAGTTTACTGAGAATGATGGTTTCCATTTTCATCCAATATGTCACCTTTTTTCTATGAGCCATATTACTTCCAATTCTAGAAGCATCATTCAACTCTTACAGCTACTTAGAGATGCTGAACCAGGTTCCCAAGCCAGAACAAGTTGGAGTATTTGTACCAACTTGTTTTATTTCACACCAAAATATTTTGCCATTGATAAAGTATACATCAAAATGTCTTTAGTTTAAACCATCCCATGTATAACATGCATGAAAACTATCTCTATAGACAGTGAATGGTGTAAAAGGAGTATTGGGCCTTATGAACTAGAAGACAGAGTCTACTGCCAATGTAACAGCGAGCTCTGCTTTCCCTTTCTTTCTAACAGAATCCTGATTTTGTGTTTAGATAGTGGCCAGAGGTATCTTTCCCATGCCTCTTTTATTTCCTGATTTAGGTTTTCTGAGGTCTGATGTCTAGAGCTGTGGTAGCCAGCTTGAGACTGTAAAATGACACACATAAGGAAAAAAAGTCTTGTTGTAAAAATGAAACAGAGGAAGTAGGGGAAAAAAAGCCTGTGTCTTTCTCAGGACCATTGAGTAATTGCAACATTGTGAAAAACTACTTTTAGATTTCTTGATGTACGAGAAAAATTAATTCCTACTTGTGAAAATCAAGGTTACTAAGTTGTTACTTGGTCTTGAAAATATTCTTTTTTTTTTTTTTCTGAGATGGAGTCTCACTCTTTTGCCCAGGCTGGAGTGCAGTGGCTCTACCTCAGTTCACTGCAACCTCCGCCTCCCGATTCTTCTGCTTTAGCCTCCCTAGTAACTGGGACTATGGGTGCACGTCACCACGCCCAGCTAATTTTTTGTATTTTTAGTAGAGATGGGGTTTCACCACATTGCACTGGCTGAGAAAATATTCTTAACTAATAGAGAATTGTTTCTCCTTTTAGGAAAACACAGAGCAAGATGTTTTTCCCTCTGTGAAGGACAGTATTTTATTATAGCTGCTGCTGTTTTTGCTACTAGAAGTTTAAGTGTGAAAACTTCCCAGTGTGTTGCGAAGCTGGGCAGCCAAGGGGAGGATTGTCCTACTTTTGACTCCCAACACTTTGTGAACACTATTCTATGCTTGGGGAATTCCCCATTTACAGTCTCTGCTTCCTGAACTCAGAACCCAAAACCTTCGTCTCTCAGCATTGGGTATAGGCCTGAGCCCTAGACTGTTCTAATGCACTAACATTACAATATGTTATGCACTACATATGCATTACAATATGGATGCACTAACATTACAATAGGAGTTGTAAGTGCCATGGAGAAGCAGATGCTGTGTGGACTCTGTTCAGTGAGGCATCAGGGACAGAGGTTCCAGTATCTAGGGCCAGTATCAGCCATGTGAACCTTGGGATGTTCTAGACGTAGTTCTCAGCCACGAAGTCTTCAAGGGACTTGGAAAAACCCTTAATGTACTTAAATAGTAGTTTCTGCTGAAAATAACTAAAACTGGTTCTGAGTAATACATTTCATTATGTTAATTAAAAAATTTTTGTTTATGACCTAATTGTTTTATTCTAAACTTTGCCATCTAGTCCTAATTGAACTCAATAGGTGACTGATCCAACTAAATCTGAGGTTGAATGGAGTTTTAAAACCTGAGACCAGCCCTGACCTCACTGGCTCTCTCAGAGGATGAAGAGCAGTACTGATTCATATTCCATGTCTTGGAACATCAGATTTAAGGCATTTTCAGAGATAAGCATTGGGTATTAGTATATGCTAGCACCTCTTGGTAAGGCTATGTATTTCTCTAACCAATCAATTGGTGCAATGATTCTCAACATTTTTTGTCTAAGGAGCCCTTCACTTTCTAAAAAATTATTGAGGATCTCAGTGTGACATTAATTATATCTGTTGATATTTCCTGTACTTGAAATACTGTGAGTAAACACAGTTTTATGAAAATAGTTTTTAATCATATTTTGCTGACCATCTGGAAATATTTGAAGGACCCCTAGGGAACACTGGACAGACAACTCTTAGAAAACCACTAAATTAGGTATTTATGGAACACTTGTGTGCACAAAATTGAGATGGGCTCTATAGCAAATTTGGACATTTAGCTGATGGCAGACAATGGGAATGAGACTTCCACACTGGCACAAAAGGAGGAAACCAACCCATCAAGGGCATTAGAGATGCAGGCAAACAGTGACAGACACTTTCCTGCATGATCTAAGTTTACCCTAACTGTCTCTGGGCAGTGCTATTTATTGAGGAGTTTTGCTGCAACAAAGGCTATGAAAAAAAAAGGCCTTGTGTTTCATAAAGGAATAATATTTTAAGGATTAGTATTTTTTTAATAGATAAAACTGGTTTCAAGTGACACAAAGTATGGTGTATTTGCTGCATGATTGTCATTTCCCAGCAGGATGAGAATGGTAATTTCCATCTTTGAGTTCTGGTAAAGGGTAAAGAGATAAGCTAATGTGAGATTATGTTTTTCTTCAACACTTAGTTCATGTGGAATCAAGTGGATTATTTCTATTTGTCGCTGAGAGTGAAACTCTCCACCCTGATGTTCTTCGTGCTTTCTGGGAAATCTCAGGCAAGTACCACACCATTGAGATGAGGATCTCTTCTGCCAAGAGCCACCCTTTCCACCACTCCCTGGAGAAATCTCTGACTCAGTCAAGCTAGGTGACTCAGAACTCCCTCGGTTCCTCTGCCTTCCAATTCATGCCAGCTGGGCACAGAGAGAAAGAGACAGGGCTCAGTGCTGACCTGGAGACCATCTGCGCCTCATAAAGACCCAATGCCAGGGACTTGCATCGAAATGAATGTGGTTAGGTCAAGTGGTGGCCTGGAATTTTGGGAAAGGTCCAGTGACTTGGGTGGCAAACACAATTGCAGCTTCCAAAGGCCACCTTCCAGAGGAAATAAGATCTGGTCAGCCACACAAGATATATCTACGAAGTAGCATGAATGGATGGATGGATGAATGGTTAGAGATGTGTAAATACATTCTATTTGAAAAGCTAGACAAAAAAAAAGATTGAAATACAATTAAAAAAAACTAAACTAAATATAGAGTATGAAAATATATAGACATCAACACCTAGAATCAATAGTAGTTGATGTTTTATCTTATTTTGTTTAATTTAAAATTACACAAAACATTGCAGATAAAGTCTCCTTTGTACCCAGTTCCAGGGCCACTGACCTCTACACATTCCCAGAGGTAGCAGCTGGCATGACTTTGGCCATCCCTGACTTTCTATTGCCTTTCTCATGGCCTCATCTCTGAATGCTGTCCTGTCTCTCTCTGTAATACCATGCCCCTCCCACCCCCTTTGTTCAAGATCAATGGCAGTTGTCCTCTTTGTGCAGCCTGCCCTGGCTCCGAGAAGGCAGATGTGTGCTGCCTTTCCTCCTGCAAGGCTCATCTCCTGGACTGGGGGTCAGGCACCCTGTCTCATGTGTGTTGGGATCTCCATCTTGCCATACCCCATACACGATTATTTAGGAGGGAATGGGACAGGTTGAGAGAAGCACACAGTTCCACAGGCACCTTTTTCCTCACGTGTTGTAGCTTACATTTTTGAAGTACCTTCACTTCACCTCCTTGTCACCACAGCAACAGAGATGAACATCTCATCTCTGCCCCCTGCCTCCACCTTTCCACGCAGTGTGCCAAGAGCTAAAACTGCACCCAGGCCCCTGGGGGGTGGCCCTCAGCTCCAGGAGCCACGTCTGACAAACTACAAGGCTAATTCCTAGTCTCTGCTTCCCTATGCCTGGCCATCTATTATCAGCCAGAGAATGGAGAGGTGGAGTCTTCCAAGGGAAAAAAAAAACCAGTTTTTTTTCCTCCTTAATTGTTTTACTTCTTCATATGCACTGCTTTTCTAAGTTACCAAGCCCTTTGTTAAAACAAGAATGGTAGTGAAGCAGCATGCAGGCATTTTTTTTTTCATATGGAGGCTATTTGGGAATTCCTGTACACACACACAAACACGTGCACACACGTGTGCGTGCACACACACACACACACCCACGTATGCCACATTTTGAAATAAAGGGAGAAACTCCTGGCAGTCACTCTTTGCAGAGTGTGAAGGCCTAGAAACATCTTCTTCTTTATCTTGATTCTAAAAGAGAGCAAGTCAAAAGGCTAAGCAAAAGAATATAAAAGAATAATGAGCTAAAATACAAGCTTCATAGGACCGGGATTTTTATATGTTTTGTTTTCTAAAGTATCTCAAGAGCATAGAACAGCATCTGAGACAGGGTCAGAGCTAAGTATTTGTTGAAGATAGAATGAATAAATCAATGATTGAAGGAAGGAAAGAGGAGTGATCACAGCGCTGTGAGCTGGGTGGGGAGGCTGTCGGGTATGTGACTCCTTTGTTTGGTATATGATGCTTCTTGTAAACTAAATCCACATGGTTAAGTGAGTCCAGGCTTCGATAACTCACTCTCACCCACCATTCAGTCACCCAATGGGCTTGCATCATATTTACTCTAGAGAATAGAGTGTGGCCAGGAGTGAGGAAACAGGGCCAGAGTTATGAGGCAGACATCATACTTGGAAAGTTCAAATGAGAAAAAATAAATTAATAGTAAAGACTGGAATTTAGCCAGAGATAGTGGGGGAAAAAAAGGGCAGCCAAACAAAACAAAACAAAACAGAACAAAACCCCCGGCTTTGAAATATCCATTCTTGGCTGTGGTAGCAATAAACAATATTGCTAAAAATTGTTTGCAAGGATTTATGGAATTTTTGTGTTTTCAGAGGACATTAAACTATTGTTATCTACATGTCTGCAGTGTCAATAAATCACTAACAACACAGAGATAAAACTAAGTATTGAATATTTTACGTACCTTTTCAGAGACATTTAGTAGATTCAGCTGGAAATGGAAATTAGCATGGTTGGAATTGGGAAATTCAGCATATAGTACACAGATACTGAAAGAAAGATCCCTAAAGAATATTTTATATATCAAAATGATTAAATTTCATCTTGAGCCCTCATATTACTAGATTTAGGGTAGGGAACAAAATTACCAATTAAAAAGTATCTCAGTCTCTTTCACATTAGCCTAGTCTCTTTTGGATAAATATTTTGTGAGATTTTATGTTCAAATTCCCTACCATGTCTGTTTCTTTCCTCACAAAGGAAGGTTCACTATGTGTGAGTGCCTTCTGTGTTGCCAGACCCTCTTCTCACCTCCCCCGACCAGGACCACAGTCCCACTTAGCCTGTGCCCTGAGTCTCTGCCTATCTTCCAGCTGGGCCCTGGGCCAGGATGGTGTGTCCACACTCTGCCACTGGGGCTCTATGGCAGGCCTGTTGGCATTCTACTCCCAGCTGCCTCCCTCATTCCCCTCAGGGAGCAGGTGGAAACCTCCAGATCCCTCCCAGTGTCACCCACAGTCATGGAAACTCTGTGAGCTGTCACAGTCATTTCTTGCCACCTAAGTTAAGTCACACCCCTTGACTATGGCCACCATGTGTCAGGATAGAGGGCTTGTGAGCCAGTCTCCTCCAGGGGAGTCAGGACCTAGCCCCACAACTCTGGAGTTCCACTTAATGTACCCAGTGATTTCTCCAACTAACCCTCCATCCCCACTTCCCCTTTTACTTCTAGATCTGGGGCCAGGGCCTACAAAATCTTTAACCCTTTTGCTCACTTTCCTTCCTTCAGGTTTCTTCCTAGAACCAAGTGGGAACATAGGTGAGAACCTTATGCCTCATAGCCTTCTTTTTTCCCTTCTCCAGTTCTAAGTTCAGTTATATTAAGTCACCAAAACGGAGATTTGTTAAAATACATATTGCTGGCCCCTACCCACAGAGTTTTTATTTCAGTAGTTATGCAGTGGGGCCTGCAGTTCTAAGTTCCCAGGTGATGTTGATATTGCTAATTGGGGAAACACACTTTGAGAACTACTGACCTATACTGTGACCTTCTCTAATATCACTGCTCCCTTTCCCTTGCAATAAGTCCCATGGCTTAGCCTTAATGGGGGAAGGACTGCAAGGTATATGCCTTATATTGTATTAAATTTATATCTGAATCAGTGAGATTACTCTTGGAAACAATTTTGGCTTGAGACTTTCAGGATCTCAAACTATTAACAGCAGAAAACAAGAGAGTCTGCAGAGCTTAAATAAGGCTAATAATGACCAAAAATGTGTAAGAATAATTCTTTAAAGGGTGATGTGGTCTTCTTCCTTTGCCTTTCCAAACGTATCACCTTTTCTGAGATTTGACGCAACTGTCATATTAGAAGGGGACTACCATTTTGTTTTGCAGGGCTGTAAGGTGAAATACTATGCGAATACTCATAATCTACCATTCAAAAATGGGATTTTTCAGTGAGATGATAGCTTTCCATCCTCTGAAAATGTAATCTTCCCTTTAGCATAACAGAGTTATAAGAAACATGAAGACAGGAAGGTGGGGGTGTGTGGGGGTGGGGCGAAGCTTTTTTGTCCCTGGAGGATGGTGAAAAGATTACAAAAAGAAAACAGAAGGATTCCTCTTCCTTCAGAGGAAGAAAGGGAAGTGTCATAAGTGAGGGGGAAGACTTAGGACCCAGAAGGGAGGGTTTTTAGTCTCCAGTGTGCAATCTTGGACTTTAGGAAGAGGCTGCACATCAAGTGGATTGTTGACTGCCTTTGGCAGGCACTAGTTGCAGAAGAAATACACAATCAAAGGAATGCAGCACTCTGCAAAGAAAAGCAGAATTCAAAGAGTATTTCTTGAATTTCTCAGTGTCACAGATCACAAAAAAATTCCGGAAAACAAAGATATTATTAGATAATCCAGTATTCCTGAATTCTTAAATTTCCATTCCTGTTTAAACATAACATTTCTGTAATTTGCAGTCAAGAGTCCTAAATAATGTTAGAAAGTATAATTTAAAAAATATTAACATTGGCCTTGCAGGCAGAGACATTAGTAAAATCTTGTTTCAGTGACCTGGCTCTCTCTGGGCACTTTGATTGGACTATATAATGCTAATTTAGCTTGTCAGAAGACAAAATTACAACATATTTAGTTATAAATTTAATTGCCTTTTATCCACCATTCATCAGGGAAGCCCTTCATTCTATAAAGTAGAATGAGAAATCCCACTGGACAATAGCAGAACAAGGGGTTTTTTAAGGTGGGAAACAGAAAAATAGAGAAAAAAGGTTAACATCGGGTTACTTTTTTGTAAGGATTAAAGTAGAGGGGACTTCCTTATTGTGCTGACTCAGGTAGACTGAAATCTGTTTTCAAAGGAAACAATGGTCTGCTTTGGAATTTATCTGCTTCCTTGAAGTTTCAGTTTGATTATGTGGCATTTAGTATGAGCAGCTCCATTAGTTTGTTCTGGTCTGCTGGGACCCAGTGCAGAAGTTCAGTGCAAAACCATGGCCTTCCCCAATTTTTTGTTTAACAAGCTCTTTACGTCAACCTAAAATAATCAAAAGGGTATGAATCTAATTTAAAGAGCTTATACAAGTGCAAAATTTGAGGATAGCCCACCCGGAAACATCAACTCCAAAGATACAGAGTCAGTATTCTAAAGTAGAGAAGTTAAGGTTTCATTTATGTAGGCAGAGACAGAGGAGTTTCCTTTAGCAGGATTACAACATTATTCATACAAGGTTGGAAAATAGTTACAGGAATTGGTTATAGGTATTTCTTTTTGGGAAGGGTACATTTAACATTTTTTTATAGAGGGTGAAATACTCGTGGGTTTTCTGTCATCTGGTCCAAGCGAGGCAGGATAATAAAGGGGAAATTTATAACAAGGTCATTAAGAAGGCAAGAGGTTTTTGTCTTTGACATCATTTAAGTATCTCTAGTCATTGTACAGAACAAACAAAATAAGAAAGTGAGTTGATGGGCTATAATCTAAGAAAAAGAAGTAGCCATATGTGACTCAGATCACAGTCACATCACTCTCAAGGCTTAAAATGTTTTGGGGGTTACAACAGCTTTTAAATCATATTTATTTTCACGCAATACAAAATATATATTTAAGTCTATGTATTTTCTATTCTCAGTGCTTTTATCTTTAAAAAGGGCATGTATTTAAAGTATAAAACTTTCTAATGCACAAAAACTTCAAAGTACACAAATACTGCATAGGAAATACAGTCTCATCAATTGCAGAAGATAGAATTCTCTTGGATTTTCTAGTAAGACTGTATTGACAAAGGGTTCTGCAGTGTCATGACGGATTGGAATATAAAAATTAAGTCATTTTACCACAAACAGAAACAACCAATTATAACATGCATTAGAAAAGGATATTTCCTTATAGTAACAAAAGTAAAACTCCCAGAATGTCAAAAAGTGTTTATTATATCATATATATATATGAAAATCTATGAAACCAAAAGCTCTCCCACAAAAGATGATTTAATGAAGACATTCATTGTTCTTGAAGAGAAATACAAATGATCTTTGAACAACACAGGTTTGAAATGCTAAGTTTCACTTATATGCAAACTTTTTTCAACCAAACACAAATAAAACATATGGTATTTGAGGGATGCAAAACCCTCAAATACAAGGACCGACTTTTCATATGCATAGGTCCCATGATCTGCAGGGCATTGCTTGGATTTTGGTATCCACAGGGGTCCTGGAACTAGATACCAAGGGAGGACTGCACTCGGTATTGTCGGTCTCTCCAAATCAGTCCTATAAATGTTGTGCAACCCATATCAAAACTTCAAGAGATGTGCTCACCAGCAGTTAACCAATTTTTATAGAACATGAGGAAGGCTTTACCCAAATCTGAGAACATACCAAAGTAATGCATCATTTACTAGGAATATGGAAGAGCTCAGTGAAAGAATTTAACACATAATGAAACAGCATTTCAAATCAGACATATGAGTGGACTTTTCAATAAATGAATTTTGAACAGATATTGGAAGCAGCGCTGTTTCACTCTTCAGAAAAATCAATTCTAAAGATCTACATGTTAACTACTCACACAGAAACATGTCGTAGAGGAAAATACATGACGTGAAATGAGCACATGTAAACATAGGAAAACATACACTGTAAATGTCTTAGAAAATAATTTGCTTTATATCCTGAAATAAGTCATGAAAATTAATCAATTTGATTGTATACAAATATAAAACATTTATTTAAACAGACACCATGTAAAATTAAAGCCAAATGGCTAAGTAGGAGAAAACATTGGCAACAGACATAAAATACAGAAAATACAAGAGAACTCCTAACAAATCCATGAGATAAAAGGACAAATCATTCAATAGAAAAATGAGAGGAAAAAGAAAATTAACAAATGTTTATATGTTCTAAAATAAACATACAAAAATATGTCCATCTTCACTAGTGAGAAATTTCTGATTTAAAACCAAAATAATTTTTTCAGAGTAATTAAATTACAAAAATCCAATAGCAAGTGTCATTAATTACATGGGGAAGCAGATGCTCATATCTTGCTCAGGGGAACTGTAACTTGATACAGCCATTCTGGAACCCAAATGGAAGTATCTCTTCAAATTAAAAATGGTTATACTCTGGCCTGAAATTCAAATCCTAAGCATATACCACAGAGAGAGCCTTATATGTACAAAAAGGGCTCATGTAGGATGATGTTCCTTTCAGCATTGTTTGTAATTATAAAGGAATAAAAAGAAGGAAAACTTCCTTAAGTGTCTATTATAGGCAAAGTACTGTTGGACAGTGCACAAGAGATTAGGTAAATGTGAATGTACCAAAATAAAAAACTCCCAAGTAGAAATAGCAAGTTGTACAATAATATACATACACGTATGTAAAAATCGTAACTATACATTTCCTGTGGCTGTAGATAATATATACACATTCCTACATTAAACACTCATAAAAACACTCTAAAAGAAGATCTAGGAGAGTTAAAACTATTACTTCTACAGAGGATATTGGGACTGAAGATGGTTTTCAAAAAGCACACAAGCAAAATGTAGTCATATATTACATGAGTAATTAAAAAACTGAAAGAGTGTGCACAGATTGATATATTTTAAGGAAAATATAGATAAAATTATATTTTCTATTTCTTTCCCTCCCTTGATGGAAACAGTACATGAAAGGTTCTAGAAGATTACCTGCCAAAATGATGTATTCTATCTAAATATATCTCTGGTAACAATACACTTAAGTCTTTATGCTCACTTTAAAAAGAGAAGAAAATTCGGTTCATGATTTCTGTAAGCAATACAATTTCAGTTCACAGCTCTTATCATTTTGTTTTAGTTATTTACAATCTTTACTAGGTATAGAATTATATATTGGGATTTTGCCATATTCCAATTTAGAATATAGTATTTAGGAAAGAGGAAAATAGTTTTTTAAATTAGAACTTAAGTCATGATTAACATTTCTGTCAGTGGCTTTAATAAGTCAATACACATTTCTAAAAGAAAAACGAAATTGAGTACAATAACCACATTGGCTTATTTCCTTAGTAGTTTATTAATTCTATCTTACATCATTAAATAAAAACATGAATATTAAAAGATATCACTGGTAAATGCCTTTTGAGGACTGCTTCTTTTGGAGATCATTCTACAAAACTCTCTTACCCTAACAACGAACGAGAATGCTACTGGTGTTCATATTCAAACCACTGTGTTTCATGAAAGACCCAACTTTTGAGGGTATAAACTAAGAATAGTTTTTAGAGCGCTATGCTTTAAAGAACTGCTTATTTTTAATTCATGTATTGCAAAAGTCTTGAACCATAAAAAAAACAAAACAATGATGATGAGAAAAAAAGAAAACTCCAGGGCTACCTGGGTTTGCAATGGTTGTGAAAGAAAAGTATACTCAGCATTTTCTTCCCAAATTAAAAGGTCCCCCCCAAAAAAGTGTAGCCAAAAAAAAAAAAAAAAAAACAAAACAAAACAAAATAAAAAAAACCCTGGCTTTGAAATACCCATTCTTGGCTGTGGTAGCAATAAACAATATTGCTAAAAATTGTTTGCAAGGATTTATGGAATTTTTACCTTTTCAGAGGACATTAAACTATTGTTATCTACATGTCTGCAGTGTCAGTAAAAGGCCATCTTCCAATGGAATTTGGAATTTCCCTTACCTATCCTTGGTATCAGTTTAACCATCTACAGCGACTTGCCTTGGGCAAGGAAGGGCCTCCCACATTTCTGATCCATGAACAACTTCCTTTCAGTACATTACAATGGAGAAAGCACTAGGCCACTGTTAGAAAGTTTTAATCTGTCACTGAAATACCAGCAGACTTTAGCCTGATTCCTCTCCTGCAACACAACAGGGCTGTGCTAGAAGATGATTAGTTTATCCTCCAACTCTGAGAGTCAATCATTCATATTTTTATCAAAGGCCACCGAGGAAAAAAGCATTCCTTTTTTCTTCATAACAGCATTTTTATAACTACATCATGTATCAGTTTTATCTGACATTTTCAATTTAATTCAGCAATACTTCACAGTGAACATGCAGCATCTCTTTATATGAAACAGATACTCAAAAAATATAAGCAGGTAATAATTTTTTAAAAATCATATAAAAGTTAATGTGAAGAGACTCAGAAAATAAATCATTTGAGCAGATTCTTTAAGTCTTCAAAACAAAAGGCAGGTGTAATTTATTTTTTTAACTTTTTGTAGAGATGGGATCTTGCTTGCTATGTTGCCCAGGCTGGGCTCAAATTCCTGGCTTCAAGCAATCCTCCCGCTTTGGCCTCTGAAAGTGCTGGAATTACAGGCATTATCCATCATGCCTGGCCGGGAGGTGCGATTTTATTTCAAGAAAGTATTTAGCATTTAAAGTGGAGATATACTGACTAGTCAGTAGTGCTAGCATTTATTTTCTTTTCACATTGACACTTGGAAAATAAGAAATGAGTTCAATTGAACCCATTTAATATGAAAGTCTTTGTTTAGTCACAAATTTATTTTTACAACAAAGCACTTTTGAGATAATTTAAAATACACATGCTTTGATTGAAGAGTGATTGCAAATGGGTCCAGTTTTCTTCCACCTGGGATGACAAATTTGTTATTTCTTCTAGGAGTACTGGCTCTGAAGGAAGCATTTTAAGGTGTAACTGCAAAGAAAAATATGATGATTGAACATTTAAGAAAATTAAAATTTTACCTAATCTGGATTCAATTTTTCTACCAAGGAACCACAAAAGACACTAGGTGAATATTTGTTTTCTTAAGCGCTGGTTTATTACTATCTCCCATTTTCCCCTCCTCTATCAAACTTTTTTTATTATAAGGTCCTTTATGATACTGTGACTTCCTTGGTAGAATTAAAGTGGTCATCACTCCTCTCCACCTAAGGACAGTCCTGATACTTTTAAATAATCAGATCAAGTGAACTCATTTTAGGTATAAATGGGATAAAGAATCAAATCTATTATCACCAAAAATCGGCATCATCTACCTCCTTCAACACATTATACCACTAAAGTAGACCCTCAAAACATGAGTTCACCACTATATTAATCATAAAAGTAACAGTCTTATTGTCAAATGATCAAAACTCCTTTAATAATGATAGAAGTGAACATTTTGATTTCAGTAGTAGAAAAAAAAACAAACAAACCCAACTTTCTATTCATAATCACAAAAAACTTCCAAAATGTAACTAACCACTAAAAAAAGAAAAGTTAATGGTTCAGCACATTGGATCAAGCAGATAGCATAAAAATGTCAGGGGGTAAAGTCAAAATTATTGTGCAGTTGAGTAAAAAAACAAAACAAGACTCCCAAGCTGCACTGTCTAGCTGTCCAATGTGGTAGTCACTAGCCACATGCGGTTATTTAAATTTAAATTAATTAAAATTCTATAAAATTAAAAATCCAGTTTCTTGATCACACTATTTACATTTCAAGAACTCAATAGCTACATGTGGCAAGTGGCTATGATACTGGAAAGGATGGATATACAGCATACCCATCTTTGCAGAAAGTTCTGTTAGATAGCACTGCCCCAGAAGAAGACAAGCTGGGCAGTACTGTCTTACATTAGACTTACCTTTAGAAACAATGCAAGGTATGCCTGGGCTAACTCAAAATCACGCTTTCTGTCCAGCATCATCCCAATCATTTTCAAGAAGCTCTGCATAACTTCTATGGACCCACCACAATCAGGAGACAAGCTTCGCAGCTCTGTTTCAATTCCTGATGGGCCTGATTCTTTCAGAAGGTTGAGAGCAGTGTCATCTGCATTAAATTTTAATCCAGTTATGACTTGATTATAATCATTTAACTTAGAAAATTACAGTTTTCCTTTTATACCCCAAATAGGATATATTTAAATGGTACAGGAAATTCTTCCTGTGGGTTAATTTTTTCATATTATGTAGTAGAATGAAACCCAAAATAATTGAAAATCAGTACAAACGATGACACCAATATAAGAGAAAGTACTCAAAACACATTTTTTTTCTGTAATTTAAACCTTTTTCCTGTTAATAAAGAAAATCTAATGCCTTGCAACAGGCACGTTAGAATTTTAAAATGCTCATATATCTTCTCTCAGAGTAAATCCTAATTAAGAAGCCTATAACGATACATACAAAAGTATTAATAGTGGTTAGCATTGGGAATCTGATGAGGTAAAATAATTTTTCTTTTCTATTGTTATAAAGTTATAAAAGTACATAATCATTAGGAACTATATTACTAACAGTACAGAATATATAAAATCAGAGGGGGAAGACCCCATCCCTTATTCTTACCCAGCCCAAACCTACTTCTTTTCCCTAGAAGAATTGTTTCATATGCACCCTAGGAAAACACACTCAGTACACTTACAGCTATTTTTATGAGTCATTTGAGAACTGCAATGACTATGCTTTAGCTTTCTGAAAAAGAGTATCACCAATGACAAAAGTCTAATCACTTTTAGATCCTTCAGTATATAGTAAACAATAGTGTTTTTATTTCTTTGTCTCCCCATAAACATAACAAGTCATTTACAAGGGCTCATCAGTATCATTCTCTGACTTTTGCTAATGTGGACTCAAGTAATCTCGGTATGAAAACAAAAGCATTTGAATCAAAACAAGAGGACAAGTTAAAATTATTAGGAGAGTGACTACAGTTTTTTAAATGATTACAGTTCTTATGGCTAATCACTATTAGCTACAGACTGTAGCCTTCGAAATTTAAATATATGAACACAACAGACAGATTAAAACATTTCCTTTTTAATAAAATAATTTAGGAATATATGAAATCACCTAAGCAGTCCGCTGAATTACAAATTATAAATAAAAACAAAAGACTTGCAAATTACTTGCTACAAAAACGACAAACAAAACTTTTACATTTAATTCACAACAAGAAGGATCTCCTTATTATAAATATAGTCAATAACTGTGTCCATCTCCAATAGCAAAAAGTAAGTTAGATATATGAAAAATCTTCAACAGATTTTTATAATATCAATACCATTTGAGTTTAGTGGGCTTATTTAATATAAATGCTAAAATTACGTCAAATTAAAACCAAAATTTCAATCTTTTTGATTTTTACTATCTTAACTACTGAGAACGCTGATATTTCCTTCAATTTCTCCTCATATACAGTAAAATAAGCTAAATATATTAGTTAAAATATCTTATAATTCAACTTACACTTATTATTTACCAGTCCTTCTTCAAGTTTCAAGCAGAAATCTGATTTTTGAGCCAAAACTCCAAGATTTACCACTTTAGACTTAAACAAAAACAAATACACATTATTCAAATAATTCAAGTATCACCCAAAAATGTATAGTTTGTAATTAAAAGCTATCATTAATTTACCCTATATCTGTAAAACTAGGTCTTGGTAAAGAAGTGCAGAAAACACATACAAACATACACCGATATACTTAGAATCTTCTAATTTGTTTTTTACCTGCTGGGGATCATTATTTTGTTCAGGTGCAGCATATCTGGGTACAAGGCCAGGAATTGTTGGAATGAAAAATGGTGCTGATTTGGGTACTTTGGGTGGTTCCTTTGGTTTATTCTTTTTCTGATTAAGAGAAAATGAGAAAGAAAAATAGGAATTATCTTGCCAACAGTTTCTCATATTTAATTTCAAATCAATTTTAAAACAAATACCAAAAAGTAAAAGAGGAATGAAACTCTTTCACATAAGAATGTTAAAATATGATCTCTTCTGACCAATACCACAGCTATCCTTAACTTGGGCTTCCCAATGCAGATCTCTAGCACCCTTGCCGATAAGGCAGAAAAAAAGTGACAGGGCACAGGGGAAGTTCTAAGACAAACACAGCTCATTTTCCTGAAATATGAATATATTTACATGAAGATATAACAATTAAGTAATTTTAAACTTCCTTTTGTATTGAGTACAAACTCTTTCACAAAACAGGATGGAAAGCAAAATTTACATAAATGCTTAATACAAAAGAGTTTCTTAAATTACTTTTCTCCAAAGGAACTTTGGAGCCAGAAGCAGACTGACATTATAAGTAATTTGATAATTTCCTTTCAAAGTACAGCTCTAATTTTTCTATTTTGCTGGAATTTTTTCTTTAGTACCTTGTGCTTTTAAAATTCAAGAAAACATGATTGCTGGTTTATAAGTATTTCAAATGCTAGTAAAATTATATTAGCAAAAACTCTACTGAAATTTCCATTGAAAGAATTTTGTTTTGGTAAGTACACTGCTACATATCAGTATCTCAGGAACATTTTTTTTTTTGAGATGGAATTTCACTCCATTGCCTAGGCTGGAGTGAAGTGGTGCGATCTCAGCTCACTGCAACCTCCGCCTCCCGGGTTCAAGCAATTCTCCTGCCTCAGCCTCCTGAGCAGCCGGGATTACAGGCACGTACAACATGCCTGGCTCATTTTTGTATTTATAGTAGAGATGGGGTTTCACCATGTTGACCAGGCTGGTCTCGAACTCCTGACCTCAAATGATCAACCATTTCAGCCTCCCAAAGTGGGACAGGCGTGCGCCACCGTGCCCCACCTCTCAGGAACATTTGATGGAAGAGCGTTTCTATGGTAAAGTGCCTAATAAAGAAGTCTCACAATTTCACCTCACATTATTCTTCCATTCTTTAGGAGCTATGCCGCCCTAGGGAGACATTCTATTCCAAAGGGAAGCCATGGTATAAAATAAAATGATCACATGAACACAGGACAAAGCACCGCAAACTGTAGTGTAAGCAGAGCCCTTTAGGATGGTGGAGACTGTTATGAGTCACAGTTACCATTCTAACTCACCATTCTTGAGTTAGAAAGGGGATGGTCACTGATTTGTTAAAACCATAAGGCTTTGGAGGAACTCCACAGTGCCCTGGAAATTATCTAGTCTTATAAAGAAAAGCAAAAATAGAAGTTATCCACAGGACAAATGTAAACTATAGTCTTGGTACATTCTCTTTTATTCAGCAGAAAATAAAAATATTAGAGGTTTTAGCATATTCCTATCATAAAGATAATCCACTTATGTTTTGATATAAGATTTTATGCAGTATAAACTATATCTTAGTGAGGACCACAGTAGCCCCAAAACTCTGCTCAATTAGTTAAGCATTATTCTGATTGCTCCCCTCACACTAATCTATTTGTACTTATTAATGCCTTGCATTTGAACTATTTCATAAAGTACTCCCTTTAAAGCTGATGTGTGGACAGCATGATGAAGAGATTCCACACCATGCTCCTAGACAGCACACCTTTATGCTGATGACTAATCTCTCAAAAAGTTAGCAAGTAAAAAGAAGCAATTTTAACTTCTGTGAGGAAATGTAATGTGAAAACTTCTCTTTCCTTACCCAAGACACACACTTCTTTTCTTGTGTTATTAGTTACAAGGATAATTATTAGTTACTTAGTCAGTGTTTCTTAAACTTTTTACCACAGCCCATACTGTGACTTAAGTACATCCAGCAGATCTAGTGTATGTGTATGTCTAACCAACTCAAGTTTCACCAAACAATACTTGCATTCATGATCAAAAGGTAACCTGAAATTTTTCACTGTATTGTATTCCTTTCAGTAGTTTTTGCTACTCACTAGTGGGGGATCATAAAACATACTCTAAAAAATACTAATCTATACCATAGTTGTCCATTTTTCATGCAGAATCATAAATTCCTCAAGGACAAAGGGGCTGTTTTTTCTTCACCACCATACTCTCCAGGTACATTATTTAGTACCTAGCTCATGTTAACTTATGTACCTAGCCCTGACACAGCAAGTTCTAAAAATCTTTCAGTAGTTGACAGGGTGTGGTGTGAGATAAAGGGTTAACTTAATAAAATGAAAGTCTAGTGGAATTTCTCTGGTTCTCAAATGACTAGCAGTAGAAATATGTTATAATAGCCATATGTGTTCCCGCTCGTTTTAGAAACTTATATAAAAGTGATTTCTTAGGCTGGATTTTAAAAGATCAGTTTCCAGTAGCTCTGTAGTTACAGGCTCAACTTTTGCCACATCCAAATGTCTGCTGAGTGTTCTCAAAGTTGATATATATATGAATATCTTGTGATAATCATACCATATTAAACAATATTTGATTAAATAGCATTGTCAGTGCTGTCTTACATATTAATTGCTCTTCTAATGCCCTCAATGTAGGAGAAGTTCTCTCTGCTTAAAAAAATAAAAATGCTTCTGGATGCATGCTTAGGGTCTATAAAGAATGTTAATTATTACCTTAATAACATCAAGGTTAAGAAGGTTTTTCCATCGTGATTCAGGAAGAAGTGAAAGAGTCACCAATTGCTCATTCAACTGTTCTGGCGAATCATATTCTATCAATTCATCACTTGGTTCTACTGTTTCTTCTGATACTTCTACATCTTAAAAAAATTTTTCAGGTAAAACAAAAGATTTTTATCATATAAAAGCAACTTAATTCATTCCAAATCCATCTGTATTTCATAACATGTTCATTTAATGCAGCCTTGTAGACTGTTCATTTATTTCATTTACTTATCCCTGTCTTTTCCTTATTTTCTCATATTAACTAAAACTCCCATCACTAGACCCAAAACACCTTCTTCAATGGTATACTATTTGATAGCTTATCAATACCACATCAATTATATTTTTGCATAAATTCATGAAGTCATTCAAAGTCTTTTATATCAGTTAAAAAACACTTTGATTGAATGCACTAAACTTTGCCTTTGGTAGCAATATCTCCTACATTAGGTTTATAATATTACACCTCAAAAATTACTTTGCAATTTTCTAATTACCTTGGGTTTGACAAGTACCAGGAAGCATGACTATTGAAGGGACATAATCTGCAGGAAGTGGCCGTAATGAAACAACTGAATACAGGGAAATATTGGACCTGAAAAATCAAAACATAAGCAATATTTTAAAAATTATAAAAAGTTTCTTTCAGAGAAACACTCTACAATCTTGAATTTGACTACAGACTTTTATTAGTTAAAAAATACCTCAAAGATAGATTGTTATCAATTTAAAAACGCCTTGACTTATGTCATAGATGCCATCATAACAAAGCTGTGTAAATACATTATTGAGTCTCTTTCCTGATGTAGTACAAAAACATATTAAAGACAGACCAGTAGTAGATAATAATTTTATAAGGTAAAGTAAATTTCATATATTGTTTTGACATATATCAACCTTTATTTAAGGAAATTAAAAGGAAAGATGAACTCAGAGAGTAAGTCAGAGTGCGAATATGCTGAGCATATTCTTGTGGCTGCTGAAAGGTCATAGATTCCCCTTCTCTAGAATGGCCCTCTAAGTAGCCATATTTCTGCTACTCAGCCTGCACCCTAGCCATGGATGACTAATCAAGATGTAGATACCGGTCTTTTAGGGGACAGGTTCTTTTTCCCACACCTTATGAATCTGGAATAGAAAATAAAAATTGAGAATCTCAGGTTTCAAGTTATTAATAGCAGTACTTCATTGAGAAGGGCCATACTCCTGCTGTGAGTGCTCATAGCTATTCTTTTCTAAACTGTTGAAGCCTCATGGATTCTAAAACATACTCTGTTTTACAAATTAAGGTGAACAGGGTCTGTTTCTATTATATATTAAAATTCCCTTTGTATCTTCAAATGTAATTATAACATTTTATAATTAATTCTTTTATAAAAAATCAATTTTTTCTTTTACCCAATACAGATATAAAGTTAGGAAAGAAACAAAATTTTTTCTAAACCCAGGTGATGTTCTATTTATTATGAGCAATGACAGTCCCTTACAGGTTCATCAAAAGAGAATTTGAAGTATCTTTACACGGTTATAAAAGTCATGCAACTAGAATAAATCTCAGAAAGTATTCTGCTTATACTTGTGCCTTATTTTATATACAAACTAGGCTGAAGTTCAGAAGGGATTGGCCAAGGTCGTAAAGTAGTTGTGGGATACTGGCAGGAAAACCATGGCCTGGCTGGGGACTCCCTTTTCCTAAACTTTTAAAAATCACTCATTCTTTCTGCAAATAAAAGCCAAATGTAACAGACAAAAATCAATCATGTGGTTTAGAATATACTTCAGCAAAGCTGTCTACATTATCAAGCAGATGTTGAATCACTCAGACTTACAGTGAATTAAGTATCTGTGTTAACTTGTGACATTTCCATTTAATACACTTAAAAACAGCCTAAATGACAATTTTAGCAACTCTAACTCTCTGACAATACAATCTTCTTCATCCCAAAACAGAACTGTATGAAAGAACTTACCATAGATAAATTCCAAGGTGGTCCACATGGGAAGTTGCCAGAAAGTCTCCAGTAGGAGACATAGAAACATTGAGAGGAGCCGAGTCCAACAAAAAGCAGTCTATAAGGCTACAGAAATAATTAACATGTTAAAAGTATTTGAACTCTACCAAAAAGGAGATAATTCACAAAAATATTTTTGCCAAAAAGATAAGGGATAAGAGATGCAGAAAATGTTTTCTTTTTTTTAATCACCAGCATTGATCAGAAAGTCACCACTAATAAACAGCTTTGTTAACTAAGTTACTATGTGAAAATAATCTCACTTAATGAGAAAGACAACATTAACTAGACTGACTAACTGGAGAAGCAGTTTCAA
Source organism: Homo sapiens (assembly GCF_000001405.40). Taxonomy (NCBI): domain Eukaryota; kingdom Metazoa; phylum Chordata; class Mammalia; order Primates; family Hominidae; genus Homo; species Homo sapiens. The sequence continues at coordinate 111,118,762 of NC_000005.10, read as the reverse complement.
CAACAGGGAGGAAACAGGAGGAAATTTTCTGTTTTTCTCGAATACTAAATTTTGGTAGACTGACTTGGAGACAATTCTAAAGATATAACATTTAAAATAAATCTAATTATCAGTATTCTGTATTTCTGTTACTTCAGTGAAACTAATGAAAAGCTTAGGCAAAAGGAGAAAGTAATATAACAAAATGGATGTAAATAAGAATAGTAATTTAAAAAAAGCTTTTGAGCAACTGTACCTATTTTTCAAATAAGTAATCATGCTATACATGAAACACCATGAAAATTCAGTCTCTAGAGAAGAACCATAAAGCAATTTATGGAAACTAGTCCCATAGCTTTAAACTGCTGAAGGGATTTACAAGTTGGGGTGAAAGGGAGAGTAACCACAAACCAGGTAGAAGACTCAGAATGGGCTTCACAGAGAACACTTATGTTTGAGAGGAGCTTTACAAATGGACAGGATTTCAATGGATATTGGTGTCTAGTAGAGAAAGCATTTCCTGGCTAAGAGAAATGTGGTGGATAAGGCAAGGGAAAATACAATTGTGTAGAGTGAGGAGTGCAGTTTTGTAGGACCATTAAGCATAAGCATAAGGCTGCATACAATGTCTTACATATCAAACACCTGAGTTTGTGTTAATCTTATAATCGATGGAAAGTCATTAACCACTTAAGAGGAGATAGTGGCATAATCTTCACTTCCATAAAAACTTGCCATCAGAATGCAGAATATATTTGAACAGAGAGAATGGTGACAGTATGGTAGTAATCATCTAACAATCAACAAAGATAACTAGGATGGTGGTAGCAGGAAGTGAAAAGAGGTAGATTTAAGAAGCAAAGAGAAAGGCCTACACTCATCTGAATCCTGCTGAAAGACCCCTTAGGCTGGCTAAAAGCGAGAATAGCTTTAAGCAGAGTATACTGGTTTTTAATTACAGCTTTTCTGAAGCCAATATATTATCCATAGGAAGGTACACACAAATGACTCAAGTTCCGGATGTACATTAATACAAATTATTTCAAGAACAAGATTAACACTTTTTTAGTGTTCTGTGTGAGGAAGTATCCTCAGCACTTGAGCGTGCTAACTAATCGAATCTTCACAAACCCTATTAAGGCGGATCAGTCCAGAAAACTGAGGCCCAGTAAGATTTGAAAACTCGCTCAAGGTAGAAAGCAACTGGGTCAGGATTTTTACCCAAGCAGTTCTACCCAATTTATATTGTTAGCCAATATAAATTCTAGTAAAGCCACTACTGAAACTAAAACACAAAAACAGGGCAACAGCTTACACACACTGAGGGTATGCCTACATCAGTGATTCATGGGACACACACTGTGAGCAGCTCAAATGTAAATGAAGACTGTCCAGTGGGAGGCATTAAGTTGCTTGCCCATGGTAAAACGCCTCTCTCAATTTGCTAAAAGAGCCAATAAAAATGTAAACCTTAAACAATGAATGCAAGATGGAAAGAAAAGACAACAATTAGAAGCACTGGAAACAAACACACACACATCAAAGTGTGTTCAGGAAAAGGACTGCTGTTTAATTGTCCATTATGGGGAAGGGAGCAATAACCTGTCTGATTTCTGTTCAAGTCTGTTTTGAAAGCCCACAAGAATGGCTTTTATTGGGAATCAAGAGAATTGGGGAAAAGAAAACATTTGCTAAATACTTATTCTATGCCATACACTATTAAATTATTTATGTTAAGTCATTTAATCCAAACAATCCAGAGATGAAGATATTATCCTAACACATATAAAGATTAAACCTAAAACACGGCAATTTCAAATCTTAAGGTATTTCCTTTGTCTTAATATTACTCATCAAAAGTTTACATACGTGAAGGGTAAAACTTCCTAACATGTTTAGGTACTATCTGTTAAAAAGCTTACTGCTTGAGCAAACTTATTTTACTTCAAACTATAATTATCTTGTCAACTTCATTGTGTAACTTCATTTCCACAGCTGTGGTGTGTGGGTAGATGGGACTTCCATTATATAAAACCACCAAATTGAGGAAGGTGGTTTCCACATACACAGCATATTCTACACTGCCACATTAGTTCATGAAACATAAATGCACAGGCTCATCCCAGACCTAAAACTACCATACAGTTTCATGGTAATCTTAAAAAAGTAAGTCCCAAGGTACCTTACAATTTTTTCTGAAATAATATTAAAACAATTCCTATTCTAAGAGATCAGATTTACAAGATCAGAGCCCTGCATAACAATTCAGAAGGTTGTTTCTGATTATTATTCTGAGCAAATGGAGACTGCTTCCATATGTTCTATTTCCAAAGTGCTAAAATCACCTTCCACAGAAATCTTTAAGGAAGAAGGGGATGTTTCTGCCTCAGTGAGAAATTGAAAACAATGTTCTATTCCAATTATTCTCATGTAATTCTCCTCAGGAAGTAGGGGTGGGGTGAGACAGAACAAATGAAAAATTCTATTAAGATTATTTAATTTTATATATTTCTCACCCCTCAAAGAACTCAATCTGGCTGGGCACCGTGGCTCATGGCTGTAATCCCAGCACTTTGGGAGGCTGAGGTGGGTGGATCACTTGAGGTCAGGAGTTTGAGATCAGCCTGGCCACATGGTGAAACCCCAGCTCCATTAAAAATACAAAAAAAAAAAATTAGCCAGGCATGGTGGCACACGCCTGTGGTCCCAGCTGCTCGGGAAGCTGAGGCAGGAGAATTGCTTGAACCTGGGAGACGGTGGTTGCACTGAGCCGAGATCGTACCACTGTACTCTAGCCTGGGCGACAGAGCAAGACTTGGTCTCAGAAAAAAAAAATAAGAAAGAATTCAATCTGAATTTCTATTAGATCAAAAACAACCAGACATAAAAGGTGGTGGTAGTGGCAGAGGAATGATAATTTTAGATAAAAAATTTCAACTTTGCTCCTCTGAAAATTTTACAAACATAAAAAATGTTTCACCACTTTAAAAAAACTTTACAGGAAACTTTAATACCCATGCAATTTGTTTCAGATAGGCACAATTCCAGATGGATATACCTGTATGTTAATACACTCAAGGGTTTACTCATAGATAGCTTCACTTTCCAGGCTATGTAATTTGTTTTCATTATTCAAATTATTTAATTGAAAGAAGAACTAGGAATTTCCAAAGGTTGTCATACTAATTATGTTTTTTTTTTCCAAGCAAATCAGTTCATACTTAAAACAAGACACAGTCTGAGCAAAGATGATAACATAAGTGTTAAGAAAGCTATTTCTTTCTCCTGTGCTGATTTTGCGCTCTGTCATTTATAAACTAAGTCACCTTGGGCAAATCACTTAATTTCTCTAATAGCCTCCACTTCCTCATTTTTGAAATGGGACTAATAACAGTAATAGTACCTACAACTTGTTAGGATATGAAAAATAAAAGCATAAACAGTGCCTAGCAGCACATTGTAAATCTTAGCTTAGTTGCAATTAAGCAGCAGCAGTTGTTGGATAGTTATTCAAGCTCTCTCATTTGGTCCACTTCAAATTTTAACCAAAACTTTTTTCTTTAATAAAAATATACTTTTCTTCAATCAATGTACATTTTATTACATTTTCTTTTAACAATTCGATGTGGTCACTTCTTGCTCTTGTGCTACACCCAGCTTCATGCCTCTCTATTCACTTAAAATTGCCTGTTCACCTAAAAATAAAGATACTAGAGCTGAAAATCTATCAGATTTGAATCTGTTCAACTTCTTACTGATATAAGAAATTCAGCAAAAGGCTAATGCTGAGTCAAAGGTTAGTGGCTTTGAATGCTACTTTCAGATCCTAATTTTTTCATTCCAAAGACGAATTTACCACTTATAATACATTGCCAATTTACTACTACTGAATAATCTATCTCTCTCACTAATATAAACTAAAACTATTAAACAGGAAAATGAAAAAGGCACTATGCCAACTCTACTATTTATACAACTTTCTTATTTTAAAGCAATTCAAATTATATAACATTAACTTTTAGAAAATAGCAACAGCCCAAGAAGTGACAGACCACTAATATTTCTAATAGTGTCTTTAACAAAATGTTTTTTTAATTGAAGAAATACCAACTTTAAGTGAACTTTCTGAAGCCTGAGGAGGATACAGTCAATAAATTCGATTTTGCTTCACTCTATTTTAAGTGAAAGAGACAAACCTGTGGACAAAGGTCCCTGATTATTAGAGCTGGACCCACTAGTGACAATCGTTAGCTGTGCTTACTACAAATCCAGTGTATATGCAAGATGGGTAGGTATGCCTCAGGCCTGTTTCGAACTCGAAGGGAACTGAGGACATCAGGGTTTTTCCTTCCTAAAGGTCAAACTGTTTTCATGTATGAGCTTATCCAATTCCTGAGTAGGAAGAGGAAGTGAACAGAGCTTAATTTGGGAATATTTTAGATTAAAAAGTACCACCTTCCTTCTCATTTTTCTCACCTATCTTTCTCTAATGGTATGTTACTGTTAAATTAGATGTTTTGCTATTCCCACAATTCTTCCTTTCTTCATACTCATCTAAGCAATCCTATGTTAAATGAGATGATTTTAAATGGTATCTATACCTACTTAATTTTTAACAACAAAGCCGACACATTCTGTATGTCTCCTCTGTTCATACCACTTTCTCTTTAAAGCCCTGGATTAGCAGCAAATTTCAACCCATGAAACAGATTTCTGAACATTTGTTACGTTTTAACCAAATCCGAAGACACACATTTTCACCACTTTAAGATATAGTTAGAATGTCCCCTCCAAAACTCATGTTTAAACTTAATCCCCAATGTGATGGTATTGAGAGGGAGTGCCTTTAAGAGGTGATTGGATCATGAGGACTCTGTCCTCATTAATGGATTAACCCATTCATGGATTAAGGGATTATCATGAAAGGGAAACTGGTGGCTTTATAAGAAGAGAAAGACAGACTCAAGCTATTACATTATCACGCTCAGTCCCCTTACTCTGTGATTCTCCATACCACCTTGGGACTCTTCAGAGTCTCCACCAGCAAGAAGGCTCTCACCAGATATGGCCCTTTGACCTGGGGCTTCTCAATCCCCCAAAGTGTAAGAAATAAACTCCTTTTCTTTAGAAATAACCAAGTTTCAATATTCTGTTATAAGCAACAGAAAATGCACTAAGACTATCTAAAATGCCTTCTTTTAAGAATTATGTCAGAGAAGCAGAAGAGACATACAAAAAGGAAAAGTTAGGGGGTTTGACCTTTTAACTAAATTCAGCATGAACTAAAAAAACTCAAAAGTTTGCCATCCTTAAGTCTGAGCTTTATTTTGGAGTATCAAAAAGGTCAAATGAGCTTTCTTAAGGTTTAGGCATCTCGCTTCTGTATCTCAATTTTGCAGGATGAGAAAACCTAAGAGAGATTTCATTTTTCTATTATGTTTCATGACACTACTACCTGCTGTTTAGTTATCAAAAACACTCCAAGGATACAATATAGTCATGTCAGAAAAATCTCCAAATATAGTCACATTGAAAAAGCATATAACCCATTAACTATCGGTAAAAGTCACATGTGAAAAAAATAACTTAGAAATCTTATAGAGGTTAGGGAATTAGAAATATAAACTTACCACCCAGAAGGAAGGTCCCAAGTCCTAATAGAGCAATCCATCGCAGCACTTATTAACCAACGACCATCAGGACTAAAAGCCTTTAAATTAAAAAAAAAAAATATATATATATATATATTATTTATATATAAATATATATGAATATATTTGTATGTATGTGTGTATGTATATATAGTTAACACCTTAAAGAATGTAATAAATGAAAAGATAATGCAGGCTTCATAAAAAAATTAATTTGACTAACATTCAGGCTGCCTTATTTTATATAAAAGAAAATACCACTTCCTAAATACCACTGATTTGGAATCTGGATAAAGATTAGACTTTTAAATGAATTATTAAAAGTTAAAAAAGTGTACTGCATTAATTTTCAAATCACAATCTTCTATTTATTTATAGACAATGTTTATGTGTGTGATAAGGGCTTACTTTTCTTGAAGCTTAAGTTAAAAATCTTTTCTCTTTTAATAATGCTTTATTTCTAAACAAACTATAATAATCAGATTTTCAAAATAAATTTAAATAAACTACTTATGCCACCCATTATTTTTTCTAGCTATGAAAATGGATAAATAATAGATCTCTCTGCCTGTAGTACCTAAGGGTTGTGAGGCACAAACCAGATCACAGGTGAAAGATGACCCAAAAGGAAAAACTTTAAAGTTTACAGTTGTAGTAGACTGTTCATCCATCAGTTTAAATTAGTAGATGATACTGGGATACGTAAATGTTGATTTGTTCCTCAGGCTGCAGTAATACAATGGGAACTCAAATCTCAAGTTATAGATAGATCAATTTACAGAAGGGTGGTACAGATAGTAAAGGATGGGAAAGAATGATTCTGAGAGGTAAAGTCATGTTATAAATGCTCACAGATTTGACTAACCGGAATAACTTATTACTGAGCAGGGAAACTCGAGATATACAAGTTGAAAGTAAGGTTTGAAAAAGAAATAGGAAGAGCAACTTGACACTGACAGATGTTTTCAAAAGTGCCATTTCAGCACAATTAACCCAATCCCACCCTCATTTCTACAGATGCTGTCAAAACAAATTCTGCTGATGTATAATTTTGCCAGCCTCCTATCTGCAGAACACAATGTCCTGACCATGTTTTTTTTCTTCAATTTTGAAGGAAAGGAGTAAATTCTGATTTTTGGTGTGAGAACTAGTAAATGCAGCTGTTGGGTTCGTCACTAAGTATTAAGATTTTATTTTTATTTTACTTTTTCTATTTTCAAGCAAATCAAGGTATCTGCAATTGATGAAAGATGATAATATACACTTAATATGGTCCTCAAGTGACAAATTTATTTTAAAAGTTCTTTTTAATGAAATATGCTATTTAAACTAGTTTACTTCTTTCCATATCATATATCCCATTATAAGAACATAATAGTAAACTTAAGCACATTTTTATTAATTAAACCCTTTCAGAGTTAAGATATGTAAACTCTAGAAATAGCACTAAACTAAAATAAACCAGATACCAGATATTCCAGGGAAATGGTCTTCTACTATTAATTCATTCCATACATAGTAAATCAGAAATGAGTTCTCCCAGCCTATTTTAATATTAAGTTAAGAATGACATATATACCAATGGATCATTCATTCTCTAAAGTATACTTTGGCCTTGTTTAGAGTTAATGAAAAAAAAGATGAGTTCTAAAACTTATACTTTAATTTGATCGCATCAACTCCCTGAAAAATATTAAACTTTTAATTCAAAATTTTCCTTTAAAATCTTTGAAAAATAGCCTGCAAATTAAAATTGATAACCACCTCATATAATGATTTTAAGGCTATTAAAGGATAACACACCCAAACAAAAGTAGAAATGAGTCAAGTTTTATTAGTTAGAGTTTGTTTTACCATGTCATTTATTTGGCCTTGGTGTCCAGAAAACTCTCTGACAATCTTCCTAGTTTCTATGTCCAGAACACTAATGGAGAAGTCATCCAAGGCGAGTCCCAGAATGCCACTAGCAAGATAAATGCACCAGTTTTAATAAACAAAAAACCCTTGAACTAAAATCTCACCTCCACTTGAATTTTGTTAAATCAAGTACACTTTGGGGGAAATTAAGCCAAATGTTGTTCTTTATTAAAGAGTCTGATTTTTCCCACTTGGTAAATTGTGACTTTATGACTTTTACCAAAAGAATCAAAGAGAAAATCCATTATCATTAAAAGTTTACCTGTCCCTATGTAGCAACATGATATTTGGAGATGAACTGAGGCTCACAGAATGGATTAAAATTTTGTTTTTAAAGTTCCAGAATTTGAGTAATCCTTCACTACCAGTTGTAACTGTCAACTGGTTTAATCCATCCACTGCGACACCTCTAACAGATCCCTTGTGAGCTGTAAGGTAGATGTCAAAAGAAAAAAAAAATCAGAATTGGCAGTGTTTCTCTCTGAACAATACACACAGTGATTCCTTCATTCAAATATGTAAGGTGCCACTTAAATATCCTTTAAAATCTTGAAATTAATCTGGATTTTAGGGGTGTAAGAAGATTCTTAATTATTAATACTGTTCGAGTAAAAAAACAGAAATCAGATCGATACAACATAGGTTTGAAAAGTTTGTTAAGATTTTCTGCTTAAAGGAGAGAAGAAAAAAAATTAATCTGTATAATATCCACGTAACTCTTTAAGTACCCATGACTTTTCTCTTTCAACATGGTCCTTATGATACAATTGCAGTATCTGCCATATAGGGTTGATTATAACCCATCTTCAACTTTAGCAAAATGCCCAGCACTTAAAGATTATACATACCAGCTTTCACTACTAGTTTTGTATCTATCTACATTAATAAAAAACAAGGAAAAAAATTCTCTACCTTGATCCTTGCCAAAACTTCCTCGATGTATGCCAGACTGCATGTTATATACATCTACAGTTCCTGATGAGAGGCCAATTACAGCAAAGTTTCCACAAGAAGTTATATCCACTGCCTTTAAGAAAAAAAACCCACAAATGACAAAATAACTAACATTTTTATTGCACTTTATGCTTTCCAAAGCATTTTTTTATCTACTTGTTCCTTTTTATTTAACAAAAGAACAATAAATGAATTGCTTCATTAGTTTTTTTAACATAAAGTAATTATATTTGGGTGTATAAGAATATATGCTAGATTCTATCTCCATTCTTTAAAAAGTATGAAGAATTACTATCTAAGAAAACAAAACATAACTAAGGTTAACTCAATTTAAATGTACAAAGTCAAGAGAACTATATATGGGACTAGCCTTCAATTTTTAATTTATTAACAAAGCCAAAGTTAAAACATTCCATCGCCTAATTTCTTTTTGTCTTGCCTTTTGTAACTGCTTCCACAGCTGACATAAAACCAAAAACATACCATTAGTTAGAATGGCCAAGCAAAAGCCCAAAATATTTTAATTATGACATATTAGGAAGGAAATATATAAGACACTACAGAGAAAACATTTGGTTTATAAGCAGGTTCTATAATATAATCTCATTTTAATACTTAAAATATCAATATTATGTCAATATATTTTTTCTATACTGAAAACATGAGACTGGCTACATATTTGGTCACTGCTGGAGAAATAACTGATTGCCAATGTGTGTCAGTCAGATGTCATCCACCAAGAGATAATTCAATTTACATCTAAACAGATGACTTATACAAACTAAGTAGAAAGTATTTAATGAAGGTTTATTTAACTAAGCAAAGCAACATAAAGTTTGACATACCACTTTGTCACGACATATTTACATTGCATCACATAAATATGTTTTACATACATACATTTTTCTAGATAAAGATTTCTTTTAAAAAAAGTATTTTAGATGGGAAATTACTATGGTTAAAAAGCATTTTATCTTCCTAAATGAAACACAAACATTAAGCTGACCTATTTTGAAAAATTCATAAATGTTTATGCTATGTTGTATAGTTATACAATCAAGAAACTAAAGGAGCTTGTATGCTATAACCTGCAAGTAATACAGGCCCTACATTGTCCTGCTTTACATTTTTTTAGGGGAGTTATTGTTTTTAGTCGGCCTGCTCCTGGCATTCTCTTCTTCTAATTTATTCATTCTAATGTATTATCTAAGCCAAACAAAGCAAAAATAAATAAACCGTGAATGTTATCTTTGAGTAACAAATTGTACTTTAGTGCACAGGCTCTCTATACGTATTTTTGCTTATTACTTATTGGTTACTAGCTTTGCTCCAGATAGCTGAGACTGTCAGAAAAATGACTCAACTCCAGCTAAATATCATAGTATACATACATACTAAATGTTCTATAAGTGATCCCTATGGGCTATAAGAATATAGATTCTAGAATGAATTGTCTTAGGTTCAAATCCCAGCTCTGCCCCTTACTCGCTTCATTGATCTTAGGCATGTTGCTCATAAAGCCTGTTTTACTGTCCATAAAAAGCAGCTAACCAATGTACCATGCTGTAGGACTGTTGTAAGGAAAATATGAAATAATCCATGCCAGACAGAAAGCCTGGAACAAAGTAATCACACAGAAAATGTTACCTGTGATTATAATTACCACTACTATTACAACCATTATTCAAAACTATGTAGGTAAATGTCCCTACGGGAGCGTAAGATAGAATCTTTACGGTTTAGAAAATTATATAAAAGCTTAAGACTGGATTTTCATACTACAGAGAATAGAATATACAAACTTACAATGCAATTTGTATAAAATAGGGTCAAATGTTGAGTTACACTTTTAATAAGCATTTTCAAAAGCAGAGGCATCTATTAAAAACTATTAGAACTAATAAGTTCAGCAAGGTTGCAAGATATGAGATCAATAATGCAAAAATCAACTGCATTTTGATACACTCTCAATGAACAATCCAAAATAAAAAAACAAAACAAAACAAAACAAAAACAAAACAAAACAAAAAAACTCTACTTCAGTAACATTAGAAAGAATACTAGGAAAAATGTACCCAAAGAAGTGTAAGACTTATATACAAACAACTACAGAATATTGTTGAAAAATTAAGGAAGATCTAAACAAATGGAAAAACACCCCATGTTCATAGATCAGAGACAACACTCAAACTGATCTATAAAATCAAAATGAAATCCCTATCAAAATCATAGCTGCTTTTTTTTGCAGAAATTGATAAGCTCATTCTAAAATCCATACGGAAATGCAAGGGACCAGAAGAGCCAAAACAATCTTGAAAAAAGAACAAAAAACCTGGAGAAGTCACACTTCCTGATTTCAAAACTTACCACAAAGCTATCAAAATCAAGACAGTGTGGTACTGGTATAAGAACAGACATACAGATCAATGGAAGAGAATTCAGAGTCCAGAAATAAACTCTTACATACATGGTCAAATGACTTTCAGCAGAGGAAACAAGATCTTTCAATGGAGAAAGAATAGTCTTTTGAACAAATAGTGCTGGGACAACTGGATATCCACATGTAAAAAAATGAATTTGGACCCCTTTATCATACCATACACAAAAGTCAATTCAGAGAGAATAAATCTAAATATAAGAGCTAAAACTAGAAAACTCTTAGAAGTCACAGGAGCAAATTTTTGTGGCTTTGGGTTATGCAATGCTTTAAAATGTTAAACTACGTTTTTTCAGTCAATATTATGATGAGAAACCTTGAGTATAACAAGATTTCCATAGGAAAGTTTTAAAGAGAAGATACTCTTATAAACAAGCTCACTTACTGTTGCAGTTATGTCATCTTTCTTCAACTCTTTTGGCTTGAGAAAGTAAGCGCCTATTGTAGATTTCTGATAATTCCAGGTTGAGCAAGATAGCTTACCTTGATGGCAAGCAATGATACCATCCCAGTCACTTTCACGAGCTTCCTCTAAAACGTAATGAAAATCATAAATCAAATTACTTTTCATTCTGTTATTCATTTATTACTTATTAGGCATCCAATATTTCAGACACTAGGGATACAATGGTAAAACAAACAGGTAATATCTGATAGCAATATGTTTCCAATCTAACAAGAGATTATTTTTTAATTGACAAATAAAAAATGTGTGTATTTATGTGTTTATGGCATAGAACATAACGTTGTGATATGTATACATTGTGGAACGGCTAAATCAAGCTAATTAACATACCTAACAAGAGATTCTAATCAGAAGAAATTACAATAAAGTATGACAGTGTCTTATAAGACCACTCAGGAGATTTGGGGAAAGTAAATGGCTCTCTGGATGGAGTAGTAGAACAAGTAGAAATTACCTGGGGGGGATAACATGCACAAGAAAAAAATGAACAAAACGGAGGACAGCAAGTAAGTGTAGTATCTTCTTGGGAGGGATAGGAGTAGGGCAAGGCAATCAGGACCACACTACAAAGGGTCTTGAAAGTCATGTTAAGGAGATGAGATTCCACTCTAAAGGTGTTAAGAAGCCACTAAAAAATTTTAAGCAGATGTGTGATGTGATTCAAATGTTTTTAGAAACATGACTCAAGCTCTGAGAAAACAGAAAGGTGGTCATAATAACAACTTTCAAATAGAAATGGTGCCTCTACAGTAATTTCCCATGATAGATTTCACGCAACAAACCCATTATCTATATTTTTCTTAAAATCACTTCTTTGAAAGTGGCACAGGTCAAATGACATAGTATACTAAGACCTCAGTATTCTTAGATCTTAATTAGTCAGAGCTCTATGTTCTCATACTCTGCTGTTCCAGTTCTTTTTACATTAGTGACTTTCATTATACCAGGCATATGACAGAATAAAAAGGCTATAAAATCAAATATTATTAATACCTGTTATACAGAAGAGCAAAGCCTGATGTTAATAGATAAGAAGTTCACATTTAAAATAACTCATTTTTAGTCTTCACACAAGACCAGCATGCACCTGGGGTTACCTTCTGAATGCTTATTAATATTTGTAAAAGCATTTATTAAAACAGAAAATAAAACAGCATACAGTAGGAAATAAATGACAAAGGAGAACTTCTCAAAACACAGTTTGAAGTTACTTACCTGCTGCAAACTTTGTGATGGGTGGAAGTCTCACTGACATGGTATTCTGAAGTCCTTTACGTTTAACTCTCTTTTTATTTATTAATCCTAAGGATGGGGGAAAGGGGAACATACATAGCTATGAATCCTTCTTAATAAAAAGTGTATATAAAAGAAAAGCTATCAGTCTTGTAACTATAAAGTACAAGATATTCCCATTTAAGTCAGAAACAAAACAAAGATGTTATTACCACTGTTATTTTTTAATTCTAAGAAAAGTTATTTTAGATATTGTTAAAAATAATCTTAAAATTTATATACATGCATGAACAGTATAAGATAGTAACTTAAAAATTAGTAATCATAAAACCAAGTAAGATTTTGTTGTTTAATAAACAAAATCTTTCAAAGGCTGGAAACCATGAAAAGGGAAAGAGAATAAATGATTGCTTTAAAGCAAAAATATTGGATGCCACTTACTTTGATGCTTTCTCTAAGCTACCTTCCATTTTAAAAACTGTGCACTCTACAGATAGCTCAAGTGAGGCCATGAACATCTTTTGGGTGGCAGCAGTATGTTTTTACCACCCAAGATGTCTAACTTTTTTCAATAACCTTATAGCAGAACCTCAATCACTTCTATAGCAACTTTGATGCTAGGAATCTTACTACCTCTTCCATACATGTTTATCTAGTTCATCCAAGAAAAAATAAAATGCATTGATGAAACTTCCTCCAGTTGTTTCATAGAATGTTGAAATGTTTCTTTCGTGACCAGCTTATTTTGTCTTGTAGAGGACCTACCATGTCCCAAGCTCTTATTGAATTTTTCATGTACCGTGGAAAATGACTGAAGAGTTCCATCTTGACCTGTTGATATACACAGAAAATCCCTAATCAAGCTTCATTAAAACAAGGGACTATGTGAATCACAAATTTTATAAAATTCAATTTGAAAATCTTGAAGTTACAGTTTGGGACACTTTAAAGGGAAAACCAGATTGCAACTACTTCATTAAAATATTCAACTTTTTATAGAATGCCATTTAGTAAGAACAAAGGATAAAATGAAAATGAGGTACTAATAATTTTCAGCAGACTAACAGAATTTTTAGAATCTAACCATTCTGTCTCTGAGGATTAGTAAATAGAAGGACACATTAAGCATAGATAATAACATCTATAGTGCTTCTCAAGTAGACAAAAAGGACTCTTAGTTTTACCCAGACTTCTAAGTCACTCAAAGAGATATGTGAATCTAAGTATGTGTAAATATCAAACCTCATACTGGGCACCCACATCTCAATACTTGCTGAAATAAACTAATAGTATGAAGCAGAAGCTCACTTGCACTTAGAATCTGCTGTCCATTCTGTCCATAATATCTGATATTGGTAAGAGGAGCACTATGACCCATTCTGAATCTCAAAAGTCGGCCTTCACCTGTAGGACCATCAAATATCCATATCTGCCAAGAAATAAAAACGTCAGTTCTTCTACAATGTTCCATCTGATCTGCAAGCAGTCAAATCACCCCCTACATAAATCAACTGGTATTGAGTAGTGCTTGCTAAGCCACTGACTCTGGAGCTACAAGGGAGGGAGTGGGTATTGGGGGAGAAATAAACTGTAATTCTTTCCCGCTTCACTGCAATCATGTCACCTGCTGTGCTTTTTGTTTCATCTATACCAATATCTCATTCCATATTCCTTTCATCTTCTAGGTTGAAAGCTGATACATTAAAACAAGCTTGTAATAACCCAAAGGGTAAGTTAGATGAGCCAGGAAGATGTTAACAATAATCATAATACCCTAAGAGCATTGTCAGCGCCATTTGTGACAAGAAGTGGCTCTCTATGGAGAAATGTCAGTCCGGCAATTGCTGTAGAGTGTGCATTTCTCATTTGGTTGATTAATTTTTTGTCTTCTAGATCCCAGAGTCCAATATGGCCACATGGGCTTCCAGCTGCCATTACTGGATGACCATCTGTTATTAAAATAAAATACATTAAGAAAAATACTTCTAGATCCCCCAAAATAAACAAGAATTCTTCTCTCTTCCCTTTTAATCCATAAAGTTAGAAAAAAACTATATACCAATAATCTATTCATATTTCTTTGCCTTTTACTCCAGTATTCATTCACTTCTATTAGATTAAGCTACCAGAAGACAAAAAAAATTGACTTTTAAAGTAATGAATTTTAAGTGTTCTTAACTCCTATCAATAAGTATGTTAAAAGTTACCTGTGCGAAATGAAATTGAAGTAATGGGTCCCCAGTCTTGACGAAACTTCATTAATGTTTCATTAAATTTAATGTTGTGAATGATAACTTGACCTGACATAAGACCAATAGCAACAACATCCACGGCTGGTGCCTAAAAATTAAATTATTCAAACTTTTACTTTCTTAAGCAAAATAGCTTTAATAATCCTGATGATACGCATCATTATTAGGTGTTATCAAAAGAAATAATGAAGTATCTTCTAAAAGATGGCAGAAAAACTCAGCAAGTATTACCATTCAAGCATACTTTTTTATTCAGCATAGAAGTATTCAGTAATGATTTTTCCAAATTACTTCCCAGCTTCAATTCTGCCAGTCAACATCCCATCCTCATTCCCAAAACCTAGCTGGTAAGATTTTGGAAAGAAAACAACCACAACAGAAAAAGAAAGCTATGTATAAAATCACTACAGATCACTGGACTGGATGGAAACAGAAAAAGGAGACAACTAGAAAACATAAAGGCTTGCGCTATGTGTGGCAACATGTAACCAATTACAAAGGAAGTGAAGAATTGCTTATCCAAGAAAGTAGGAAAAACCTACAAAACATGTGAAAAGGCAAAAAAAGTTTTACAATTAGTCTGTTCCAGTTCTAATATTCTATGGTTATAATGGTCTATAATACAAGTCTTACATACAGGCTCTATTATGAATTTCTCTATTTTAGCAAAGATCAATGTCCAATATCATTATAGAATGGAATCAGGCTACACGTTTTATTAATTTGTCATCAAGTGTCTACTATGCATGAGACCCTGTGTAGAAATTGGAGATACTAAAACAGATATAATCCCTTGTCCTCAAGGGTCCTAATCCTCTGATACTTATGGAGTCTTCTGGATAGGCAAAAGTGGAGCTAGGCTGATGACAGCAAGAGAAGATAAGGAATACATATAAATTGGGCAAGTATAGACAATGGATACTGAAAAAGATAAGGGTATAGTGGCTACATATGTGGCCAATATAAACACAAGATTCGCTGTAGACATGCATTCATTTATTTATACATATTTTGCAGATTCATTAAAAAAAAGCAGTTATTTCTTAAATAGTCCATCATCGAATCAAACATTAGGATTTTGGCTCCAATTACTTCAAACCATAAATCTCAACATCTTGACAAATTTCTCTACATGACTTACAATACCGCTTGCATTGCTGAACACTCATTTCCAGTCTACACAAGACAATGGACTACATATACTTGCAAAATGATTAGAAACAAGGATCCATAGCAACCACAGATTTAAGTCAAACTATAAGCACAAAGGACTCCAATAAGTGTTATTGGCAAAGGCATTATTACTTGTTTTAACTTACATTTCCAAAACACTATTTCCTCAGGCTAACAATTTTAAAGGTAAACTAAGCTATATATTGTTTCGTCTTTACGTCTAAAATTATGATTGATTCCTGAAACTGAAGGATTTTCCTATTAACTTTGTTCCTCTTTGACTTAACAGAAAAATACTAACCTGCTGAAGAGCTGTCACTCCAACTTTCCATCCTGGAAATGTATATAGAAGTTTACTACAAGAAGAAAAATAGTTGAAAGCTGTATTTTTTTTTTTTTGGAGGAAAACAATATCAGCTACACATTAAAAAGTGAAATAATAATAGGTGATATTTATTAAGTTCTTACTCTTCCACACACTATTCTGATGATTAAGCTAATGTCACAAGGTTAGTAATATTGTCCAGACAAATTCTAGGTCTCAAACTAACTACTATGCTATGCCACCTCATTAAGAAATTAAATGTCCTAAGTGGAAAAAAAAATACGTGTGTAAAAATCATGTTATATTACAGGCTACAGTAAAAAAAATTTAGGACTGCAGTATCTTTATAGAAACATCATGAAAGGGAATAACTTATATTTTAATAAAAATATTATTTGCATGTTATATGACTGTTATATGACAACAGTAATGCTGCTCTCAATTTCAGAAGCAAGTCATGAATGATAAATAACACATCCATGGAGCAAACAGAGGTATCTGAAATCATTATAATTATCATTAAAATATTAAATCATGTATTAAATTCTGTAAATGGGCAAAGACAGTATTTCAGTCACTATTGCTGAACCTAGCACAAAGTAGGCAGTCAATGGTATTTGTTAAATTGTAATGAAACACTGATTTAAAACATCAAACCTTTAATAATCTTATTTTCCCTTTTGAATTTAAAAGGACTTTGGAAAAAAACAATTTGGATGGTCAAATATTTTTGTTTGCTTTTTAAAATGCTATACAAAGAAGTGTGAGCTGCCACCTTTTTCTACTGATAAATGTTTACATAATGGATAGAAGTATTCAAAATCATGTATCCAGCCCTCTAGCTACATCAATATTAGATATTTGCCATATCTATGGGAGATTATGGAAGTACTTTTAACCCTAAAAATCATTTCTAAATGCTAGCACTAAATTATTGATTTGCCTTTCCATCTTTTACCTTCTTCATGTATAGAAAATCTTCATGTATGGAAAATCAGAAGCTCCCTAGTAATAATCTCATTATTATTATTTTCTGATGGATCTCATAGACCTTTATTAGAGCCTTCTCTATAGCAATTCTTTACAGTTATTAGGTCATTAGTACATACTTTTCAGTGAGCATTTATGAAGCTGTCTAACATGTGTCAGGATCACATGCCACCTTTCACATATGTGATGCCACCAGCAACAACTCCAAAAGCAAACATATAGTTATATCTCACTACCTGTGGGGGATTGGTTCCAGGACTTCCCCAACTTCTCTGCTGATACCAAAATTCACAGATGCTCAAGTCCCTTACATAAAATGGTGTGGTATTTGCATATAACTTTCACACATTTATGCATATACTTTAAATAATCTCTAGCTTACTTATAAGACCTAATATAATGTAAATACTATGTAAATAGCTGTTATACTGTACTACTTTAAAATGTGATGTTTTATTGTTGTATTATTATTTATTTATTTTTCCTTGAATATTTTTGATCCCAGGTTAATTGACTCCTCTGATACAGGGGACCAACTGTTATTTATAGACAACCCTCCAAATAAATATACAAGGGCAGGGAGAAATGAGACTTAAGTATACATTAGGAAGTAGTAGATGAGGATAAGGTGACAGCTATATTATTTTCTAACTAAAATACTTACTTGGATTTTACATTCCACAACTGCAGGCTTCCTTGTTCACTGCCCAGAAGTATTTTATTCAAGTAGGTACTTGGATGCAAAATTGCAGAAATTTTAAATACTGATTTATCAAAAGTCAACTGCAGGTATTCTTCTACAAAAGTGAAAGTTATAAATATTTTTTATAAAATAGTTTAAAATGTTTTATGTAACCATATATTTATCACTTAAAGTAAGTCTATCACATCAAAGATTTATATGTTAAAATAAACCACAGACTTAGATACTAATCTATAAACATTCCTTGAGAAATAAAATAAATGAGAGGCAACTTGTAAATGTAATTTAATTTAGACTGTCAAAAATTTTCTGTAACTTCTAATAAAAATACTATTAAAAGTTTCATTCACTTTTGAATTACTTTACAGAAAAGGATAATAAAGTTAAAAAAAAAAGATCCTAAGGATTAGCATTCATGTTTCTGTAATTTGATCAACAGACAGGAGTGAATATTCCAAGTGAAGTGCTTATACTTAGCTCTTTCAGGGAACGAAGAGCCAATTATCTGGAAAGTTTGATGGGCCACTCAAAAAATGCCAAAAATAAAAGACACACCTCAGTGAAATAAGAGTACTTCTCACACATTTCCACAAAATAATCTCTAATAAAGGAGAAAAAAAAAACGTATAACCCTGTGGAGTGGGGGGTGGCATCACCAGTGGTCACTTGCTCCAAGATAAAAAAATTCTCTGAAATCTTTGGTTACATTCAAAATTTCTATGTTTGAATTCTGCTTTTCACTTTACAGTTCCTCCATGATTAAAACAATGTTCCACTCTATTTTCCAGTAAATTTGTGTATCAAAGAAGGTACATTTCACTTAATCTTTAGGTTCACATACTATCTGGCACACTACTGTACAATCCCAGGGTATGGGTACCACAGTTTAGGATGTACAGGTATAGGTGAAAATTATATAAACTTTACTTTGAATGCTATTTTAAGAGATCCTTGCCTTTATTCGTCAGTCACTACAAATGGCTCCCTGAATATACTGGTTCAAGAGAGTCTGCTGGAATGTAAGAACCAGATCCTGTAACCTAATAAAAGCCCTTTTAACTTCTATCTGCACAGGGAATACTTTTGGAATTCTGTTCCCTCCCTCTACTTGAGCAAAAACAAAACAAGAAAAGGGTTACTAATCTGAAACAAGAACCTGGAATAATTCCCAGAAATGCAATCTTCAGGATATTTACTGAAAAAAAAAAAAAAAAAAAAACAAAAAAAAAAACAAAAAAAAACCAAGAGGCAATATAAGCTAAAAATGTAACCAGATTAAAGAACTTAAAAGATTCAATTCATGATGAACCCAGTATTTTATTGAGGAAAGGTGTAGATATCCTAGGGATAAATTCTTCATGTTTAAAGATACATAATCCCATAAACATAGCCACTGTCTAAGCTATCACAGTTGAAAGAAACTGACTCATATCCCTAGGAAATGGATGTATATTTTCCTTCAGATTACAAGATCAAGTTTACTATTACAGTCTCCTTTACTAAAAGGTGAAAATACAAACCAAGAATTACTCAGGTATGAAAATACATCAATATTCACTCCACAGGGAAAACAATACAACAAATCATTAAAGTTGGAGAACTGCAATGGAAAATACATTAGTTGAGGTAAGCACATTAAACAGTTTATAAGTAGTTAACTTGCTAAAGTTGTTTATCTCTTTCTTACTTAGAACTTTTTTTCTTACACGTTAAAGATTTTTGATTTTTTTAATTTCTTACTATTTACAGGCAAAATCTCTGGCATAGATGTTTACATAGATTTTAAATTTTAATTAAACACATACTACCCTAAGATAAAGCAAATAAATGAGTTAACTCTTACCTTCTGAATATATGTGCCAAATAATAAGAATGCCATCAGTATCAACAGAGATAATGTGGTCTCCAAAGGGTTGCAAGAAATGGATTTCTGCCTTATGACCCTTAAAGGTATGTACTATCTAAAACATCGAAGTTTAAAAGAATTTCATATTATTACTCAGTCATCATGTCATATTATTCATATTATCCCAAAAACATGCTAATCCTGAGATGCTTCTGTTAAGAAATGTACCCCAACTTTTGATTATTCAAGGTTAGGATGAACACATAAATATTAAGGGACCAGGCATGTTCATCTGCTCCCTCAGCCAGTTCAACAATAAGGAAGTAAACTGTCCATTAAGAACAAAGAAATGAGACCTCTGAGGCTCTGCCTTCCATCTTGGGTTAGAGAGGAGGCATGCACACACACCTAGTTCCCTCACCCAATTCAATCAGTGCAACTACATATATCCTAGCGAGATGGTATATTCCAGAAGGCTGATCTCTAAAGACTCCATCACCAACTGGCTTTCAGATGAGATGGGAAAGGGGGATATAGGGTCTTCTTCCCCATACCCTTCTGCTTTGACAGAGATCCTTACAGTAGCTGATCCCTCCATAAGTATAGCCCCTTCTCCATGGTTTCAGTTCTCACTAGATTCCAGTAACACTGTTTCCTCTCCTTGGCCCTTTGGCCTTAGGGGTGGTAACAACTTCCTACAGTTGACAGTGTCTGACGCCTCCCCACCCCTATTTTGTTCCCCTAACCCTGACCACACCTGTGCATAAAGGTCCTTTATTAAAGTCTCCACATCTGAACCACATATAGGTTATACATATAGGATAAAGTCTCCTCATGTAAATCACATATATCTCCCTGGGAAAACTATAAACAACAATACAAAAATGAACATTTTTTCCAATTCTAAAAATCTGAACACCTTCCATTAAAGAACTCTACAGATAAGTTACCTTCCTCTGCCACAGGAAGTGATGATGAAAGACTGTGGGAACCACCTCACTCCAAGTCCCTGACAAGTACAGTGATACTATCATTTGGCTATCTTTGTACCCCCATTCCTACATTTCCTTTCATTCTAGACCATTAAGGCCAGGTCACTTCTCAAGCTAGTTGTTCCAGGACAAATTCAGAAACCAACTGGTAGATTTAGACCAGAAAAGATCTTTCCTTAGCAGTGGAGAAAACATAGAATCTAGCTTTCTCTAAACAGCGAACAGGCATCTGATTTTTAGAAAAAGAGTTATAAGCTAAGTTATACATAATAAATAACCAATCCACATAAAGTGGTGGTGCAAATATGAATTTTCTAGGAAAGTATTTTAAAACTACACTTAATAATACACATTATGTCCTATCTCAACAAATATACAAAATAGAAAACTCCTGAGATGGGAACTAACGGCATAAAAAATTTTGAAGAAGGTCTCCAAGTAATTTTGATATTCATCTCTGGCAAAGAAACTGAAGTAAAGCACCAGTTTTAAGTAAGCCTTTTCTGAAAATTTATCTTCCTCCAGAAAACTGAATATACATTAGAAAAAAAAGAATACTGTATAGTTCCAGAGTGTGCTGGGTAAAGAATGACAAAATTAAAGTTCCCTCCACTATCATGACAAACAAATACTGACTGACAAACAAGTAGTTTAGCGATACCAACCTCTTTATTACGGGCAAATGCAGAGAAAACATTTCCATAAGCAGCAAAGACTAATCTGCCATCAGCTGCCATACAGCAGATATCCTGTGGAACAGAATTACCTAGCAGAAAATACAAAATGAAAGAAACAGGGATTTTTAAGATGTTAAAGAGAAACCTCAAGTATACATATAACATTTTTCATGGCTATAATTTAAAAAAATATATAAATAAAGATCAAAGTTGAGAATCAGTGTATAAAATTTTAACTAAAATATTTTAGATATCTAATAGTAACTATCAAACTAAGGATAGGAAATCACCTTGTCCTTCCCTAAGAGAATGTCTAGGATTTGCAGAAATAAAAACATAATCCTAGAGAAATGAAAACAAGCTTTTTGAGGTTATTTGGAAAAAACTGTCATTTGAAACACAAAGCTCTGACAGATAGTCATCCAGTCTTCACGTGAACATCTTTTTTTTTTTCTTTTTTTTGAGAGACGGAGTCTTGCTGTGTCACTCAGGCTGGAGTGCAGTGATGCAATCTTGGCACACTGCAACATCCGCCTCCCAGGTTTAACTGATTCTCCTGCCTCAGCCTCCCAAGTAGCTGGGATTATAGGAGTGCACCACCACACCCGGCTAATTTTTGTATTTTTAGAAGAGACAGGGTTTTGCCATGTTAGACAGGCTGGTCTTGAACTCCTGACCTCAGGTGATCTGCCCACCTCGGCCTTCCAAAGTGCTGGGATTACAGGCGTGAGCCACATGCCTAACCCATGTGAGTATCTTCTGGAACATCAAGTTCACTAATAACTCCAGAAAAATTTTAAAAGTAACTCAAAATCTAAATCTCTAACTCTACCCTTTGGACCAACCCAAAAATATTACATATGGTATTCTATATGCCTATTCCTAAAACATTTAAAGACAATATTGTTTCTACAGTCTTCTCCAAGGGAAATATGCCTATCAATCTTTAGCATTTCTCACGTGACATATGATTCTTCTCTCAGTATCCTGGTCACACTGACCTTTTCATTTCCTCTTTTGGGGCAGGAGGGTTAGTAGACACAGGATTGTTGTACTTTTCATGCTGCAAATTCCATATTAGTATTTGTTTGCATAACCCTGTTTTATAAGTTTATCATTCACTTTTGTATTCAACTTAAGTTCCAATGCCTTTCTTCTGCCTTCTAATCTATTATTAAAATATAAGTTTAATACACATACACATTACAGTCCTTGTAGGTCTTCTGTTTCTCTCACAAGAACCATATTTGATGGTAAAACAAGTACCTCTCTGCCCTGAGAAATGTTTTATTCTATTAGATAGTTTAAAAAAAAACCCTTCCATTGGAAAGAAATACCAAAATGTGAGAAAAGGGAAAACTTCTCCTTACAGTAGAAGGAATGATGGCAAAAGAAAATCACTATAGGCTGACTATGCTTTATCTGAAATGTTTGAGACCAGAAGTGTTTCAGATTCCGGATTTTTTTGGATTTTGGACTATATGTATAACCAGGTGAATGTTCCTAATCTGAAAATCTGAAATCGGAAATGTTCCAATGAATATTTCCCTGTTAACGTCATGTTGGCTCTCAAAAAGTTTCAGACTTAGGAGCATTTTGGGTTTCAAATTTTTGGATTAAGGATAATCAACATGCATTTGGCAACCATCATACTAATAACTGATTCAGGCAAGTATCATCATAAAATATAAAAGCAGCAGGTAATAACTTTGAAGAGTACTAAGATATTTACATAGTCCCAGTGCATACTACCAAAAGATACTTATTCGTTACAAATGACAAAACACTAACTTAAAAATAGAGCCTCCTAACCAATCACTACCAGGAACAGAACCAACTAACAGCATGTGCCTTCTGATACAATTCACTGTGATTCCTCCCAAGGGGTACAACCTAAATCTAATCCTGAAGAAATGTCAAAAAAACTCAAACTGAAGGACATTCTAAATGAGCCTGTACTCTTCAAAAATGTCAATGTGTCAATGTCATGAAGCACAAAGAAAGTCTAAAGAACAGTTCCAGATTAAAGAAAATAAAGATACATAACAACTAAAAGCAAAACATGATTTATCCTGGCACCCTTTTTTGTTGCTGATAATGTAAGTTTATAAGACATACATGTTACCTTGGCTTCCTTATATGCTCTGTAAGTCTCACATTTATGTCAAAATAAAAAAAAAGTTTAGATGTGCATAAATTCAGAATAAAGTCCATACTTACTTACTGCAACCAGACTAAGTTTCTGAACCTGTTTAAAAAAGAAAAAAGGTTAAATTTTCATTAACAAACATAATCATAATAACCTAACACCTGAAGATTAAGATATAACCTCATACGTATATTTGCTATGCTGTCCTTCATAAGAAAGACACTTACTGACACTAATTTTCTTTATTAGGAAAGTTTATATTTTCAACTGTATTTCACCAGGAGTGGTGATGGAAGGGGTAGGCAAATGTTTTCTATAATGGGCCAAATATTAAATATTTTAGGCTTTGCAGGCAATGCATGTGGTCTCTGTTGCCAACTACTCACTTCTGCCACCGTAGCATGAAAACAGCCATACGTAATAGATAAATAATGTGCATGGGTATATTAAACTTTTATCTATAGATACTGAAATTTGATTTTCACATAGTTTTCATGTCATGAAATATCCTTCTCCCTACCCCCAGCCTGCCCCCACAAACATTTAAACATGTCAAAATCATTCGTAACTCCTGGGTCATACAAAAACAAACAGTGGGCTAGACTGGCTTACAGACTGTAATTTGCTGACCCCAATCATGGCTACTGATCCAGCTGTATGACCCTGGAAAAATAAGCTCCCTGTGCCTCAAATTCTTCATCTGTAAAACAGGTATTTATTTACTTTATGGGATTGTTATGAGGATTCAATGAGTAAATTTGTGTAAAACAGAATGGGGCCAGTCATATAGTAACTGCTCAATACATGATAGCTACTACCATCACTACCACCACCTATTCACAACTTGTCTAGTTTCCCCTGTAGAAGAAACTAATCTGTAGGACTGTAGGAAGTCTGACTGGGGACAGCATATATAGCCATAGTCATGGGATAGAGCACTTGTAGACCCAATTAGTGACTTAGGTTCATTAGCTCCTTTTTTTTTTCTTTTTACTCCCAAGTATTTTCAGTTTTAGAGGTCACAGCCCAATGCATTGGTTAATCTGAGCAGTGTACAGTCTGGGTAAAGAACATTTACATGCCATGATGTTACGAATGTATCATCAGTGTTAGAACTAGAGGAGAACTTAAAAGCCATCTTTATTATGACTAAATGTCAACACACAGTAAGTAAATTGTTAACTTTATAAAATGTACAAATATGTTACTCTCCTCACCACAGGGTTTCTTTGGAAGTAGAATATAGGGAAAAACACCTGTGTCTGTGTGTAATGCAGTGTCAGGAAAGACACTGTACCAAAGACAAGATTTCAAGAGTTATTTCAGTAATAAACTCAGAAAAATTACATTTCAAGGAAGAAAACATTAACCAGCAAAAGCAAAAGTTAGCAAGCAAGGAACAAGTGCAGAGAATGGTAACACTAAATACTTTCACATGATTAATATGGTTCTAACCCACCCTGTCTCCATTACCAGCTCAGACTCTGAGAAACCCAATTGCTCTTCACCTCAGCTCTGCCCTCACTTTCCTTTTCCACTAACTCAACTAGTTCCTACCTCCCAGCTCTTTTTGCTAATAAGCCATTTGATATTCACAATCCTCCAAGAGAGACAACTCTACCTGTTTTCCAGAAAAGAAAGTACTTAATTAACACTGACTATTATCATCCTCCTCATCAAGGTTTCTGTTCTCACAGAGGTTACATTCTTTCGGAGAAGACAAAAGAAACAAGTAAACAAGAGACACTATTACAATGATCGATGAACTGTTATAGGAGAAAAAATCATCACTAACAAGTGATTTATCTGAAATTTACTTTAATAGATTATATAAAGGTGCTACGGTATAATGACACCTATGTTGCAAAGAAACGGCTGCAAGGCTTAGAGTGACAGTGCCAGACACTTTGCGTTAGTTGAAAATAACTGATTGCTATTAGATATTTTCCCTAACGGTAATTAATCTCACCATCTCCGGTTCTCCCAATGTATTCTACCTAGAGTGAATTTCTAACTCAGCTCGTGTCACCAATAACGTAATAGCGTGCATGTTTTTCTCTCTCATTAAGAATGCAAGAGGTAGAGGTTTGTCTTAATTATGTTTCCACCTTCAAGGGAAGGTCAATAAATATTCACTGAACAAATATTACTGCCATACAACTGAGATGTTCTCTAGCAGTTTCCCCTTGGCCAGGCTGCCTCTGAAACACGCCCCAGGAGGACTGCAAGTGCCAAATCAGCACGTGGACGTGACCGGATGGCGAAATATTAATAGGACAGGGAGGGGTTAAAGAAGGGAAGCCCGTGGTAAATGGGAAGGGAGAACCGGACTGCTCCAGGACAGAGTTAGAGGCCAAGGAGGGTGGTTTTCCTGGGAAGCTAACAAAAGAAGTCACTCACGTCATAGGTGTGGAAACTCTTGCCCACGCAGGTTGTTACATAGAACCGGCGCTTGAGCGCGCTGAACCGCACCACGTGTGGAATGTCGTTGCTGAAAAGTCCCAAGGCCCGGAACCCCGCAAAAAGCGCGCTGGCCGTGCGCCTTTCTGAGGCCCGTTCCATTGCCGCCGCGATCCCAGCTCCTCTCAGCTCTGGTCCTGAAGGAAAACACGTACCCAGTCCCTTCAGCGTGTCTAGTGGAACAGTCCTCTGCCAGAGCTGCAGACACAACACCGCTTCCGGCGCCCGCTGCGAATCGCGTTTCCGGAGACTGCCCTCAGTGCAACACATAAAGTTCTCCCTCCAGAGCTCACATGGGAGGCGTGACTTGGGTTCCGAGGGCCAAGGTCTCCAGCACGTTGCCTAGCATTGTTCTCCAGCTCTTTTGCGGTGGAAGGAAGCTCGTTAGGTTCCGACAGAACCGCAAGGGCGGGAAACAAAGAGGGAAGCGCGACGCCCAGGAGAATGGAGGGGAGGTCGACGCCTTGGAGATGGAAACGATTTAAACATGTGATTATTTAAAAATGTACAAAAACATGAGACTGGAAAAATTTAAACACTGGATATCTGATGATATTAAGGAATTATGTTTCATTTTTACATATGATAGTAGCATTATGATTACGTTTTTAAAGATCCTCATCTTTTGGATACATATTGACATATTTACAGATGAAAACTATAATGGGACATTTCAAAACTGACAGAGGGATTCACTCACAGACCCTCTGGGGAGTAGAACTAATTACTTGTGGGGAGGGAACTGCTCACTTGGGCAACTTGGATAAGTGTAGATTCCTCCCAGAAAAGGAAGATAAATATTAAATGTTATTGGGATTCCTGGATTAAGTCAGTATTCCTTGAGGTCGGCTGTCAAAAGCAGACAGTAGAGGTTCTAAAGAGGAGCTTATCATAATGCAAACGGGAGTCCGGGCAGTTCATTAGAGCTGAGTGCCTTAGGATGCTGAAGGAGACTGATTCCAGTGAAGTGGGTGTCAAGACGCCTCACTCCTCAGGAGCCAGCTGCCTTACCAAGATGTAGGTTTGGGGAACAATCTCTGAGCATGTGAACATTAACTAAAACAGTGGTGAGCTTAGAGCCCAGGACCAAAGTTCAACATATGGAATAACCTCTTCTCTTACTGTTTTATTTCCATTTCATTTCGTTTATGAAAACGTTTTGGCAGCCTATTAAGGTTTGGGTCGAGTGACTAACGTAACTATACTAGTACTTGAGAGGGATAAAAAGGGTATATTTACTAATGTAAATGTACTTGAAAGAGATAAAGAGGGTCTGTCTCTACACAGATCAGTGTACTCTCTCGGGTTCCTTCCAGTTCTAAAATGTAATTATTATGAAACAAAAGTCACTTGTTAGCTAATTTGAATACCTGACTCATACATTCTTGAACAAAAAAAATCTTGATTTATTTTATAGTTCTTGGCACAAAGCCTCAAACACTTTGGATGTTAAGATCATTAAGGGGCAGATGCTAACAGAATGAGAGCTTGTTATTTAGTCCTTGACATGTTGTACTTACTTGTATTTTCATTTGTACCCCGGATTTCTCAATAGCAGTGCACATTTTCAGCCATGTTTTTGGTATGACTTAAAAGTGAACAAGTTGCTAATTATTTGTAAATGTTCTTTAAATTAAAAAAGAGGGGAGAGGGGAGGAGCCAAGATGGCCGAATAGGAACAGCTCCGGTCTACAGCTCCCAGCGTGAGCGACGCAGAAGACGGGTGATTTCTGCATTTCCATCTGAGGTACCGGGTTCATCTCAGTAGGGAGTGCCAGACAGTAGGCGCAGGTTAGTGGGTGCGCGCACCGTGCGCGAGCCGAAGCAGGGCGAGGCATTGCCTCACTTGGGAAGCACAAGGGGTCAGGGAGTTCCCTTTCCTAATCAAAGAAAGGGGTGATGGACGGCATCTGGAAAATTGGGTCACTCCCACCCCAATACTGCGCTTTTCCGACGGGCTTAAAAAACGGCACACCACGAGATTATATCCCGCACCTGGCTCGGAGGGTCCTACGCCCACGGAGTCTTGCTGATTGCTAGCACAGCAGTCTGAGATCAAACTGCAAGGCGGCAGCAAGGCTGGGGGAGGGGCGCCCACCATTGCCCAGGCTTGCTTAGGTAAACAAAGCAGCTGGAAGCTGGAACTGGGTGGAGTCCACCACAGCTCAAGGAGGCCTGCCTGCCTCTGTAGGCTCCACCTATGGCAGCAGGGCACAGACAAACAAAAAGACAGCAGTAACCTCTGCAGACTTAAATGTCCCTGTCTGACAGTTTTGAAGAGAGCAGTGGTTCTCCTAGTACGCAGCTGGAGATCTGAGAACGGGCAGACTGCCTCCTCAAGTGGGTCCCTGACCCCTGACCCCTGAGCAGCCTAACTGGGAGGCACCCCCAGCAGGGCACACTGACACCTCACACTGCAGGGTACTCCAACAGACCTGCAGCTGAGGGTCCTGTCTGTTAGAAGGAAAACTAACAAACAGAAAGGACATCCACACCAAAAACCCATCTGTACATCACCATCATCAAAGACCAAAAGTAGATAAAACCACAAAGATGGGGAAAAAACAGAACAGAAAAACTGGAAACTCTAAAAAGCAGAGTGCCTCTCTTCCTCCAAAGGAACGCAGCTTCTCACCAGCAACTGAACAAAGCTGGACGGAGAATGACTTTGATGAGCTGAGAGAAGAAGGCTTCAGACGATCAAATTACTATGAGCTACGGGAGGACATTCAAACCAAAGGCAAAGAAGTTGAAAACTTTGAAAAAAATTTAGAAGAATGTATAACTAGAATAACCAATACAGAGAAGTGCTTAAAGGAGCTGATGGAGCTGAAAACCAAGGCTTGAGAACTACGTGAAGAATGCAGAAGCCTCAGGAGCCGATGCCATCAACAGGAAGAAAGGGTATCAGCAATGGAAGATGAAATGAATGAAATGAAGTGAGAAGGGAAGTTTAGAGAAAAAAGAATAAAAAGAAACGAGCAAAGCCTCCAAGAAATATGGGACTATCTGAAAAGACCAAATCTACGTCTGATTGGTGTACCTGAAAGTGATGGGGAGAATGGAACCAAGTTGGAAAACACTGTGCAGGATATTATCCAGGAGAACTTCCCCAATCTAGCAAGGCAGGCCAACGTTCAGATTCAGGAAATACAGAGAATGCCACAAAGATACTCCTCGAGAAGAGAAACTCCAAGACACATAATTGTCAGATTCACCAAAGTTGAAATGAAGGAAGAAATGTTAAGGGCAGCCAGAGAGAAAGGTCGGGTTACCCTCAAAGGGAGGCCCATCAGACTAACAGCGGATCTCTCGGCAGAAACCCTGCAAGCCAGAAGAGTGGGGGCCAATATTCAACATTCTTAAAGGAAAGAATTTTCAACCCAGAATTTCATATCCAGCCAAACTAAGCTTCATAAGTGAAGGAGAAATAAAATACTTTACAGACAAGCAAATGCTCAGAGATTTTGTCACCACCAGGCCTGCCCTAAAAGAGCTCCTGAAGGAAGCGCTAAACATGGAAAGGAACAACCGGTACCAGCCACTGCAAAATCATGCCAAAATGTAAAGACCATCGAGACTAGGAAGAAACTGCATCAACTAACGAGCAAAATAACCAGCTAACATCATAATGACAGGATGAAATTCACACATAACAATATTAACTTTAAATGTAAATGGACTAAATGCTCCAATTAAAAGACACAGACTGGCAAATTGGATAAAGAGTCAAGACCCATCAGTGTGCTGTATTCAGGAAACCCATCTCATGTGCAGAGACACACATAGGCTCAACATAAAAGGATGGAGGAAGATCTACCAAGCAAATGGAAAACAAAAAAAGGCAGGGGTTGCAATCCTAGTCTCTGATAAAACAGACTTTAAACGAACAAAGATCAAAAGAGACAAAGAAGGCCATTACATAATGGTAAAGGGATCAATTCAACAAGAAGAGCTAACTATCCTAAATATATATGCACCCAATACAGGAGCACCCAGATTCATAAAGCAAGTCCTGAGTGACCTACAAAGAGACTTAGACTCCCACACAATAATAATGGGAGACTTTAACACCCCACTGTCAACATTAGACAGATCAACAAGACAGAAAGTCAACAAGGATACCCAGGAATTGAACTCAGCTCTGCACCAAGCGGACCTAATAGACATCTACAGAACTCTCCACCCCAAATCAACAGAATATACATTTTTTTTTCAGCACCACACCACACCTATTCCAAAATTGACCACATACTTGGAAGTAAAGCTCTCCTCAGCAAATGTAAAAGAACAGAAATTATAACAAACTATCTCTCAGACCACAGTGCAATCAAACTAGAACTCAGGATTAAGAATCTCACTCAAAACCGCTCAACTACATGGAAACTGAACAACCTGCTCCTGAATGACTACTGGGTACCTAACGAAATGAAGGCAGAAATAAAGATGTTCTTTGAAACCAACGAGAACAAAGACACAACATACCAGAATCTCTGGGAGGCATTCAAAGCAGTGTGTAGAGGGAAATTTATAGCACTAAATGCCCACAAGAGAAAGCAGGAAAGAGCTAAAATTGACACCCTAACATCACAATTAAAAGAACTAGAAAAGCAAGAGCAAACACATTCAAAAGCTAGCAGAAGGCAAGAAATAACTAAAATCAGAGCAGAACTGAAGGAAAGAGAGACACAAAAAACCCTTCAAAAAATTAATGAATCCAGGAGCTGGTTTTTTGAAAGGATCAACAAAATTGATAGACCACTCGCAAGACTAATAAAGAAAAAAAGAGAGAAGAATCAAATAGAGGCAATAAAAAATGATAAAGGGGTTATCACCACCGATCCCACAGAAATACAAACTACCATCAGAGAATACTACAAACACCTCTACACAAATAAACTAGAAAATCTAGAAGAAATGGATAAATTCCTTGACACATACACTCTCCCAAGACCAAACCAGGAAGAAGTTGAATCTCTGAATAGACCAATAACAGGATCTGAAATTGTGGCAATAATCAATAGCTTACCAACCAAAAAGAGTCCAGGACCAGATGGATTCACAGCCAAATTCTACCAGAGGTACAAGGAGGAACTGGTATCATTCCTTCTGAAACTATTCCAATCAATAGAAAAAGAGGGAATCCTCCCTAACTCATTTTATGAGGCCAGCATCATTCTGAAACCAAAGCCGGGCAGAGACATAACCAAGAAAGAGAATTTTAGACCAATATCCTTGATGAACATTGATGCAAAAATCCTCAATAAAATACTGGCAAAACGAATCCAGCAGCACATCAAAAAGCTTATCCACCATGATCAAGTGGGCTTCATCCCTGGGATGCAAGGCTGGTTCCATATAAGCAAATCAATAAATGTAATCCAGCATATAAACGGAGCCAAAGACAAAAACCACATGATTATCTCAATAGATGCAGAAAAGGCCTTTGACAAAATTAAACAACACTTCATGCTAAAAACTCTCAATAAATTAGGTATTGATGGGAGGTATTTCAAAATAATAAGAGCTATCTATGACAAACCCACAGCCAATATCATACTGAATGGGCACAAACTGGAAGCATTCCCTTTGAAAACTGGCACAAGACAGGGATGCCCTCTCTCACCACTCCCATTCAACATAGTGTTGGAAGTTCTGGCCAGGGCAATTAGGCAGGAGAAGGAAATAAAGGGTATTCAATTAGGAAAAGAGGAAGTCAAATTGTCTCTGTTTGCAGACGACATGATTGTATATCTAGAAAACCCCATCGTCTCAGCCCAAAATCTCCTTAAGCTGATAAGCAACTTCAGCAAAGTCTCAGGATACAATATCAATGTGCAAAAATCACAAGCATTCCTGTACACCAACAACAGACAAACAGAGAGCCAAATCATGAGTGAACTCCCATTCACAATGGCTTCAAAGAGAATAAAATACCTAGGAATCCAACTTACAAGGGATGTGAAGGACCTCTTCAAGGAGAACTACAAACCACTGCTGAAGGAAATAAAAGAGGATACAAACAAATGGAAGAACATTCCATGCTCATGGGTAGGAAGAATCAATATCGTGAAAATGGCCATACTGCCCAAGGTAATTTACAGGTTCAGTGCCATCCCCATCAAGCTACCAATGACTTTCTTCACAGAATTGGAAAAAACTACTTTAAAGTTCATATGGAACCAAAAAAGAGCCCGCATCGTCAAGTCAATCCTAAGCCAAAAGAACAAAGCTGGAGGCACCACACTACCTGACTTCAAACTATACTACAAGGCTACAGTAACCAAAATAGCATGGTACTGGTACCAAAACAGAGATATAGATCAATGGAACAGAACAGAGCCCTCAGAAATAATGCCGCATATCTACAACTATCTGATCTTTGACAAACCTGAGAAAAACAAGCAATGGGGAAAGGATTCCTTATTTAATAAATGGTGCTGGGAAAACTGGCTAGCCATATGTAGAAAGCTGAAACTGGATCCCTTCCTTACACCTTATACAAAAATCAATTCAAGATGGATTAAAGACTTAAACGTTAGACCTAAAACCATAAAAACCCTAGAAGAAAACCTAGGCATTACCATTCAGGACATAGGCATGGGCAAGGACTTCATGTCTAAAACACCAAAAGCAATGGCAACAAAACCCAAAATTGACAAATGGGATCTAATGAAACTAAAGAGCTTCTGCACAGCAAAAGAAACTACCATCAGAGTGAACAGGCAACCTACAAAATGGGAGAAAATTTTTGCAACCTACTCATCTGACAAAGGGCTAATATCCAGAATCTACAATGAACTCAAACAAATTTACAAGAAAAAAACAAACAACCCCATCAAAAAGTGGGCAAAGGACATGAACAGACACTTCTCAAAAGAAGACATTTATGCAGCCAAAAAACACATGAAAAAATGCTCACCATCACTGGCCATCAGAGAAATGCAAATCAAAACCACAATGAGATACCATCTCCCACCAGTTAGAATGGCAATCATTAAAAAGTCAGGAAACAACAGGTGCTGGAGAGGATGTGGAGAAATAGGAACACTTTTACACTGTTGGAGGGACTGTAAACTAGTTCAACCATTGCGGAAGACAGTATGGTGATTCCTCAGGGATCTAGAACTAGAAATACCATTTGACCCAGCCATCCCATTACTGGTTATATACCCAAAGGATTATAAATCATGCTGCTATAAAGACACATGCACACGTATGTTTATTGCGGCATTATTCACAATAGCAAAGACTTGGAACCAACCCAAATGTCCAACAATGATAGACTGCATTAAGAAAATGTGGCACATATACACCATGGAATACTATGCAACCATAAAAAATGATGAGTTCATGTCCTTTTTAGGGACATGGATGAAATTGGAAATCATCATTCTCAGTAAACTATCTCAAGAACAAAAAACCAAACACCGCATATTCTCACTCCTAGGTGGGAATTGAACAATGAGATCACATGGACACAGGAAGGGGAACATCACACTCTGGGGACTGTTGTGGATTGGGGGGAGGGGGGAGGGATAGCATTGGGAGATATACCTAATGCTAGATGACGAGTTAGTGGGTGCAGCGCACCAGCATGGCACATGTATACGTATGTAACTAACCTGCACAATGTGCACATGTACCCTAAAACTTAAAGTATAATAATAAAAAATAAAATATTAAAAAAAAGAGGGGAAAAGAGCATCTCACTGTACTATTAACTTCTTTATTAGGCTTATTTTATTTTAATAGTTTAGTGGGTAAGCTCCATAAAGGTAGAGAATTTTTTTTTTCTGTTTTGTTCATTAGTACATAACAAGCACCCAGAAAAGTGTCTGGAACAAAAGGGGTGCTTAATAAACATTTGTTTTTTTTTAAAAGCTACGTTTAAATACAAAAGTGCTAAAAATGTGGAATGTTCTCCCTTTATGTTAGTCTATTCCCTCCCAAAGTAATGAGTTGTGTACCCTGGCGTCTCCAATATTTAAACTCCCTCCTGTAAGAAGTTGTGTATCTCTGTCCTTTGCCCAAGACTTGTAGCAAATCCTTCATGGTGGAGCAGGAATAGGAAGCGTTTGACTTACTTTGGCCAGTGCATATGAGCAAACATGATGTTCAGCAAGTCTCAGCAGATGCTTGAAGAGTCATTGTCTGTTTCTACCAACTCTCTTGCTCTTTTCTGTTGCCAAAAGAGAAAGGCATGTCTCAAACTGGAGCTGCTTTTTCAGCCTGGGTCCTGAAATGAGGTCTGTAGACAAAGCCTGCAGCTGACTTGAGGTTGCCCGTTTGTAATGTGAGTGAGAATTAACTGTTGTTGCAAGCCAGTGAGACTTGGTGTTTTTTTGCCTTCTGATTACAACCTAGCGAAAGTCTATGTGAATTTTGGAGAAATGTGTGAAAATTAGCATGTAAAAATAAAAAAACATAGTTTGTTATACTTTATAGAAGTATTAAAGCTGTGTTACAGAAGGTGAGGACTGGGCCACAGGTTCACAAAGGACAAATATCCTCCAATATGATGTTAAGGTTTCCAAATTATTCATGTTCTTAGTTGTGTGTCCAAGGATGACACAGAATAAAGGCTCAGTGGATGTTTGATGATTGAATAAATGCAAGTTTAATTTTTTTTCATTTTGCATTTTTTGGGGAAAAGAAGGCGTAGGGTTGTTTAAAAAGAAACTGTGGGCCAGGCAAGGTAACTCATGCCTGTAATCCCAGCACTTTGGGAGGCCAAGGCGGGCAGATCATGAGGTCAGGAGATTGAGACCATCCTGGCTAACATGGTGAAACCCCATCTCTACTAAAAATACAAAAAACAATTAGCCAGGTGTGGTGGCATGTGCCTGTAGTCCCAGCTACTAGGGAGGCTGAAGCAGGAGAACCACTTGAACCCGGTAGGCGGAGGTTGCAGTGAGCCAAGATCACACCACTGCACTGCAGTCTGGGCGACAGAGCGAGACTCCATCTCAAAAAAAGGAAGCTGTGAAGAATAATGATAGGTTGCAATGACATTGATTGATAGTTTCCTTTTCCCTTCTGCACAGAGCAGGTGCCAGCAATCAGATAGTTTATCTGATAGTTGCTGCTGCCAATTCAGTTTCTGACTCATGATGGACTTTAAAACAGTTTATTCTTGGGAAACACGTATTTAACGTTTAATTCATTTTAATTCCTTCATTCTTTTACTCAGCGTATCTATTGAGAACTATTATGTGGTAGATATAGTACCAAGATAAAGTATGGGCTACACTCTTAAGATATTACTGGCTGGGCGCAGTGGCTCACGCCTGTAATCCCAGCACTTTGGGAGGCCGAGGCGGGCGGATCACGAGGTCAGGAGATCGAGACCATCCTGGCTAACACGGTGAAACCCTGTCTCTACTAAAAATACAAAAAATTAGCCGGGGGTGGTGGCGGGCACCTGTAGTCCCAGCTACTTGGGAGGCTGAAGCAGGAGAATGGCATGAACCTGGGAGGCAGAGCTTGCAGTGAGCCAAGATCGAGCCACTGCCCTCCAGCCTGGGTGACAGAGCGAGACTCCGTCTCAAAAAAAAAAAAAAAAGATATTACCAAATCTTCCTCAAACTCCACATCCATTTGATATATACCCTGAATCATCCCATAAATTTTATATCTAAGATATCTGCTCCAAACACAATCTAAGTTCATCCTCAATACAATTTGGAATGCCCTGCCACTCTCTTCCACACAAGAATAGCTAGCAGAAGGGAGAGTAGAAGAGGGAAGAGTATAGGGGCATACAAATACTGCATTTATGAGCACCATCTTGAAAAGTGGCATCTCAGCTTTAATTGCCAAGGCAATGATCTATTGACATGAGAGTTGTTTATAGAAAGTTTCTTAGCCCATTTGTGCCACTATAACAAAATACCTGAGACTGGGGAATTTGTAAACAACAGAAATGATTTCTCACAGTTCTGGAGGCTGGGCAGTCCAAGATCTAGGTGCCAGTGCCAGTAGGTTTAGTGTCTGGTGAAGGTCTGTTCCTCATATATAGCACTGTCTAGGTGTCATCACATAGCAGAAATGACAGAAAGGGCAAAGGGGGATGAACAGTGTGTTCTCACATGGTAGAAGATGGGAAGAACAGAAGAGACTAGGCTAGTTTCCTCCAGCCTTTTTATAAGGAACTAATCCATTTATGACGGTGGAGCCCTCAGGATTTAATCACTTCCCCAAATACAATGGGGATTTAAGCTTTAAATTGAATTTTGGATAGGACACATGTTCAAGCCACAGCAGGAAACAATGTGAAATATGCCAAAGAATGGCATCCTCTTTACATGTTTACTTTTCCTGCATCCTTACCATCCCAGGTCATAATTTTTGGCTTGTTCCCTAAGATACTGGGGCCTGTCTTCATCTTGCTCATCTCTTCTTCCCACTTCAAATTAAATCAAGATTAATTTGCCTTGTCTTGGCATTCAGGTAAGTTGTAGCATTAATCAGTAAGAATAACCACCCACACAGAAAAACCAAAACAAAACCTTTACTTAAGTAGCTCACGGAATTGGAAATCAAAAGGAGGGTGAGGGTAAGGTTGATTAATCTACTTGTGTAATTATATATTTAAAGCTTCAGGCTCTTCCCTTCTTGTTTCTCTGCCATTCATGGCTTCATCTCAATCCTGGTCTTAGGATAATTGCTAATTGTAATTGCCACTGCATGCTTCTTTGTTTGTATCTCATGAGAGGGGAAGACTATCACTCTACTGCCTTTTTTTTTTTTTTAAAGTAAGGAAACGTTTTTTCAGGGTTTCCCCTCAAAAACCTTATGCTTATTGTTCATCACCAAAGGTGGCTATATGTTTATCCTGAATAAGACCAGAGTCAAGGTACTTGCTTACCAATATGCTTATCAATATTAGCCTGGTTACCTCTATTAACTCCAAGCAAGGATATTGGGACACCCATACTAGGTTAGACTAATCCAGATCCATCCCAGGAGCTGGGATCAATCCCTAAAGCCCTCTGGTGGATGAGGAAATAGATGCAAAATTAAGAAGTGGTAGAATCCATGTTGAGGAGACAACTACAATATCTATTAGTTAGGTAATGAGGATAATTTCCACTTAGTGGAAGGCATTTTTTATTTTAAAATCTCAAACTTTAATCTCAAGTAATAGAAAGTGTGCACTTCAGAATCAGCCAGATGCTACACATACTAGTTGTGCTACACTGGATAGTTCACTCACTGAGCCTTTTCTTGCATCTGTAAAATGGGGATAGCACATAGCTCACAGGATTGTTGCAAATATTTCATAAGGTAGTATAAGAAAAATAACTGATAAAACTACTCAGTAAGTGTTGGTTTCATTTATGACAATCCTTGTCTTTACTTCAAGAATAGTGGAGAATGGAAAAGAATCTTCCCACCCTCCTACTTAAACAGAAGCTAACAGGTAGAAATCAATAATTAAGGCCAACCAATGTAAAATTTTTTTCTACTTATATCATGACATTGTTCATGAAATACTATATACGAAGTACAGGAGAAAGGGTTGAAGTGCTCTGGAGAGGAAATCCTAAGAAGAACATGCTGAAGGTCTTTACAATACCATTGGCTGCTTTTAAGATTTTCTGGTTTTGAGCAATTCGATTATGATGAGCATTAGTGTAGTTTTATCTGTTTCTTGTGCTTCAATGAGCTTCTTGGAACTGTGGGTTTAGAATTTTTTAAAGTTTGGAAATTTACCATTGTTTCTTCCTATATTTTTTTCCGTACCTCTTTACTTAAAGAGACTTATTACATGTATATTAGGCACTTGCAGTTGTTTCACAGCTCTCTGATGGTCTTTTCATTTTTAAGTTATTGTTTTCCTTCTGTGTTTTATTTTGGATAGTTTCCCTTGGTATGTCTTCAAGTTTACTCATCTTATTTTTTGCAACATCTAATCTCTCATGATTACCATTCACTGTGCATTTCATTTCACACATTACAGATTTCATATCTAGAAGTTGGACTGGGATTTTCTTTATGTATTCTGTGTCTATATTTAACTTTTTGAACATATTGAATATAGTTACAATAACCATTTTACAATAACCATTTTAATGTCCTTGTCTGCTAATTCTAACTTCGATGTTAGCTCTGAATCAGTTTCACTTTTCCCCCTTATCATGTGTTATATTTTCTCACTTTTTTCATGTCTGATAATCTTTAGTTGTATACAAAATATTGTGAATTTTCCTTTTTGGGTCCTAGGTATTTTTTATTTCTACAGATATTCTTGAAGTTTATTGTAGGATTCAGCTAAGTTACTTGGAAACAGTTTGATTCTTTCAAGTCTTACTTTTAAGATTTCTAATGCGGGATTATTGCAGCAATTAGCCTTGGGCTAATTATTATTAATTACTAAAGTAAGTCTCTCCTGAGTGCCCTACCCAATGCCTAATGAGTTGTGAGATATTCCAGTCTAGTGGATGAAAATAGGCAATTTTCCTGGCTTTCAGTAAGTAATGGACACTATTCCCTCTAACCTTTCAAGTGACTCATTCCCCAGTGTTGGGTAGTTTTCTCATAGCCATGTGAGTTTTCAGCCATGTGCTGAAAAGTACTCAGCTAAATATTCAAGAGATATACCTACAGGTCTCTGAGCTTCTTTCTCTGTGCACCTCTTACCTGAGGTACTCTGTCTTATGAACTCTGCTATCTTGGTAGAGTTCAAAATTGCTAGGCTGTCAATAACTGTGTGCTTAAACTTTTCAACCTTCTTTCTATTGCCACAAAGCAGTCCTAGACAGAAAACTAAAAATAAAGTTACTGACAGGCTGTGTAACAGTCTTTATTCCAAATCTTTATAATGGTTACAAATAGGCATTCAAATAACTAAATTTAAAGTATTTTCCTTACCATTTGCCAAGGACATTATTTTTATAATGTACTTTAATTCTAATAATAACCCTAAAATACAGGAAGCATCATCCTTATTTTAGAAATGTAGAACCTGAGACTCAAAAAATTCAATTTGCAATTAACTTTGTATATGAGCTATTATCCTTTGTGTTTAGATATAAATAACTTTTGCATGATAATCATCAGTGAAACTATATTATTTGGTAATCTGTAAATACTGGGTATCAAAAAGTATAGGTGTATTTACAAAGTGCAATGCCAGACAAAAGCCAAGAGATATTCTCAGAGCTACAGCTAGAACAAAAACATTTGAGAAAACCTAGTACTTTTGAATAATAAAAAGGAGAGAATACTAAAAAATCTCAGATCAGTTTAATGTTATTGTCTGGTATAATTCTCAGAGAGTTGGCTTGTAAGATTTAGAAAGGAATATAATTGAAATATTTTAAAATTCCCATTTTTAGATAAATTTATTTGATCTGTAGGTTTGATATGGGCTTAGTATGTTTTGACTTCAGTAAAGCATTTGATAAATTTCCCCTCACCTTTATTTTGATATGGATAGAATGAAAAAATTGATATTTGATTCTTAAAGGAACTTTTTTTTTCTTTTTTAACAAAGAACATTGACAAATAACTTTACCAGCCTATAGAGTTGCCTCCTTTGATGGTAAGGAGGGCTTAGTCCTGCCTTGGTCAACACTTTTTCAAAAACTGAATTAAGCAATAGAAAGCCTATGAGGGAGAGTTATGTAATAATAGAACCAAGAGCCAAACTCTCAAGATATCAACATGCTGAGGGGATAGGACAAAAACCGATAAGAAATGGTTAAAAGGAATAAATGTAAAGATCTGTTCTTAGGTTAAAATTATACAAATAATGTGGAACTAAGAAAACAGAAAACTTAAAAATGCAGCAACAGCACTAAAAGTAAACATGCCTTTGTTTGGAATTCATCCACTCCCTCTCGCTCCCCACCTCCACACACTAAAATGACATGCTATGTATAAGAAATATCAAAAGCAAAGAGACCCAGAAAGAGTTTAATAGAGAGCATAGATTACTTGGCAAATAAGATGTGGAAATGTTGTAATGGTAAGGGTATAATGATCAATAAATGGCTCCATTGATTTTTTAGGCATTGGATAAAAATGGTTTCAGCAACAGGAAAGCAAAACTTTATGGATACAAAGAAATAAAGAATTATATCAGCTAGACTTTCTTGTTTTTTCTGTTTTTTTGAGAGGGAGTCTGGCTCTGTCGCCCAGGCTGGAGTGCAGTGGCGCAATCTCGGCTCACCGCAAGCTCCGGCTCCCAGGTTCACGCCATTCTCCTGCCTCAGCTTCCCGAGTAGCTGGGACTACAGGTGCCCGCCACCATGCCTGGCTAATTTTTTTGTATTTTTAGTAGAGACGGGGTTTCACCGTGTTAGCCAGGATGGTCTCGATCTCCTGACCTTGAAATCTGCCCACCTTGGCCTCCCAAAGTGCTGGGATTATAGGCATGAGCCACCGCGCCCGGCCGGCAGTAGACTTTCATACAGCTCTCTTATTCTCTGAATGAAGGAGACAAAAGTGAGAATATAGATTATATAAATAGCATAACTAACAATGTAGTCTCAGTATGTATATAACCAACTTTATATGCTTAAATCACAATTTGCAACTTCCTTTTTATTGACCATGAAACATTGACATAACTGACCGTATACTATACTAGTCCACCAAGAAAGCCTCAATACATTTAAAAAACCAGAGATGTATGATCCACATTGTTACAACATTTGGGAACGTTCTTACTAAATTAGTATGATGCAATCTCTTGCCCATTACTTTTAATTGACAGTGTAATTTAAATGACTAATTTTACATTAAGATATCTATGGAACACATAGAATAAAATATATAAATTATACAAATTTTTAAAGATAAAGCAGAAGATTCAAAGAAACTGCACTTAATGGGATGACTTTGAGTTGTCTCCTTTCTCCCTAATCCTCAATTCTTTTAGGGGAATTGGGCCCAAAATTTTGTGAAAAATTATGTGTATTTATTTTCATAGTTCAGTAAAATCTAGTCAGTGAATCCCTACTAAAATGGAGTTAATAGACAAAGAAATTTCTCTTACAATAGCATTTAAGAGCTTGGGTCAGGTCTTCAGAGGAAGATTTTTAGAAAGCAGGCATGTCCTGATTTTCCTCAGGACAAAAGAAACTGCCTATTCAGCTATACCCTGAGCTTCTCTGGACAAAGGCTGAGTCTTACCTACTTTTCTATCCCCATTGTTTGGCTGAAGGCTTGTTCCACAGTAAGTGCTCTTTAAATGTGGACTGGACATGTAATGTAAGCTTCCTCTTACCTGTTGGCAAGTAAGATGGATTTAAGGACATTGAACTTCCCCACTTCTGTCATGGTTTAGCCCCAACTAACCCTCAGGGAGTAATTAGAGGAACATGTCTACTCCTAGGAAAAATCAGTGCATTCCCACGTGCAGTGGGTTGCCCTTCCCACTGGTGTTTATAGGGTTCTGAGTGGAAATTGAGTGAGAGGGTGCCTGCGGCTCTAGCTTGCAGCGGGAATTCAAGAATCGATTTGACATCCCCTGTTCACTTTTTCCTACTTTGTTTCTTCCAGGTGTGAGGAAAGTTCAAGAGGGGAAAAAATAAAAGACTAGTGACATAATTTAAGAAAAGGATGATTGCAATGCATCCTGAAGCTGCCTATCTCCAAATATTCTCTCCTATAGGCAGGGCCAACAGGTATAAAGGGGAGCAGTCAGTGGGCTCT
Source organism: Homo sapiens (assembly GCF_000001405.40). NCBI lineage: Eukaryota > Metazoa > Chordata > Mammalia > Primates > Hominidae > Homo > Homo sapiens. The sequence goes on along the minus strand of NC_000005.10, from coordinate 111,076,892 downwards.
AAGGATGAGTGGAGGTAAAAACCTGAAGGAAGATAATGTCCCTTAGAAAAGTATGTGTGCAAATTGTCTAACTAGATTTGAGAGATGATTCATAAGAAACAAATTTGAGAATTATTTTATTAAGAAATATATAGTGTCAATTACAAAGGAACATGTACATTTTCAAAAGTGTTCACAAAATAAATTAAAGTAGATTCTATAATTTATATGTATATTTATAGTAGCTGTAACAAAGGTACTTCTCAGGATCTACTTGTATATACCACTCTTGTCTGTTAGATAATATTTAAAACTTGGCTTAGAATACTTTCACAATACTTTGCTTGAAAATTATTTCAAATTGCTTCACTATATTTACAACTATTTGTGAAACCCCATTTGCTTTCACTTTCTTCTCTTGTAAATTTTTAGTTTAACACAAGAAGTGTCATTACATGTAGAAGGAATGTCTGTCTTTTAAATGTAAGTTTAGGTGCTATCATTGAGTTCAATATTTTTCCTTTTTCAGGGAAAAGAGTTCTCCTGCTGCACTTTTGGATTTTCCTCTTGAGCAATGCTTATGCAACTACAGCCGAGAATTACTGCCATGAAGCCAGTCATCAATGTTATGGAAGCTTCCCTCAACATTTGAGGAGTAGTACTTCCCCTGCATTATAAACTTACACAATAAAAACTTACAAAAGTAAGTTAAGAAACTCTTCTGTAATTAAAAGATAACTATTTGTGGTCTTCTTTGTCACAGTTAGAGTTAATGTTTCATCTACTTAATAAAGATGATTTATTTTGGTGCTGTGAAATATGACCATAATAAAGATGGTTTACTGTTGTTTCAGTAAAGGTCGATTGAAGCGACGCCACAATCCTTGTAATTGTGACACTTGTTCCAGACATTTATTGGTTGTGACTTTCCTTTTTCTCCTCTTCTTCATTGCCTGAGTAGCATTTATCTGCAGAATATAAGAATCAATAGTCAAAATTACTTTTCACTATCTTTAGTAACTGTTGAGAGCAGGTTTAATTGCCTTCTCTATGCAAATCCATCTTTCAGTGTGTCTCCAAAGCACCTGCTTACTATGTGCTAGCATGTGCCTTTTCCAGGGGAATGCCTTCCTGTTTCTGTACCCACCTACTTTTGCTTCAAGGCCAAGCACCACCTCCTTCAAAAAGCCTCCACTAATTGCTCAGACCTTGCTTTTGGAAACTCTTCCAGTACTTAAGAGTGTGTGTCATTTAACTTGGCTCTCACTTAACATGCTTTTCTTTATATTGCATCATAGGTATTCCCCATAGCACTGAATACAGTGTCTTAATCATAGGAAACACTGAATATTTGTTGAGTGATTAAGTAAATGAATAAATTGCTGATTTCAAGACCTCCCTGACAAGATCACAAGTTCCTCATGGGCAAGAGCTATCTTATACCTGTTTATAGACATCATTCAATAAACCTAGTCTATTTTTTGGACCCAAAATGCATGCTCCTGCTCCCCATCCTTCCCCCTCCCCTGCCCCATTGTCTAGATGTGTCACAGACATCTGAGGGCTTATTTTAAAGAGGATTGCAGTATATACCTTTATCTGAATTACCTTTGAGTAGTACACTGGGCCTCCTAGACACATGGTATGCAAATTAATAAAGTCACAGGGTTATTAAGCACAAATCTTAAAAAAACCTGCAAAATCATTATTATTAGTCTTAGACTCTCCATTTGGGCTTGGGAGGGACTGAAATAAATTTCTCCAAACTCTCCCTTTCTCACATGCTGTCCAAGAACTTGATCTAGCTTTTTGTTTGTGCTCTTATTTAAATGAATTTTATTGTAGCCATCTGCAGATTTGCCAGGGTCTCCTTCATAAGAAGGCATGAAGCCAAATAGGTTTCCCATATGGCTGTCTGGTATTGAGTTTCTAATTCAAGCTCAACCCAGATCAGCGCTATGGCTTCAATCCTCAACCTCTAGAAAGTGACAGTTTTGGCTGGGCATGGTGGCTCATGCTTGTAATTCCAGCACTTTGGGAGGCCGAGGCAGGCAGATCACAAGGTCAGGAATTCGAGACCAGCCTGGCCAATATGGTGAAACCCCGTCTCTACTAAAAATACAAAAGTTAGCCAGGCGTGGTGGCGGGCACCTGTAGTTCCAGCTACTCGGGAGGCTGAGGCTTGAACCCAGGAGATGGAGGTTGCAGTGAGCTGAGATCGTGCCACTGCATTCCAGCCTGGGTAACAGAGCGAGATTCTGTCTCAAAAAAAAAAAAAAAAAAAAAGTGACAGTCGTGTCCATCTACCTAGACTGTAGACATATAAAGTCCACTAGGCTAATAAGGAGCAATCAAACATATCTGCACTTGTCTCTCTCTGTTCCTTAAACTTGTCACCATGAAGATAAATCCTCTACTTGCTGACTGAAATAAATATTGAGTGCCTGTTGTGTACCAGGCACTGTTCCAACTGCATTTACATGTGTTGACTAATTTAATCCTCAGAAACAACCTGTATAAGACTAACTGATATGATACTTACTTTACCCATGAAGCTACAGTACACGGAGGCTAAGTAATTTAACTAAGTCTTCACAGAAGTTATAGGGCCAGGATTCAAAGTCAGGCAGGTTGTCTCCAGAGTTCCTGTGCCTAACTTTCCACTACACTATCTCCATATTTAATGCTACACGAGCATTCAAATGCAGATAACTACATGTGCAAAAATGTGTAAAGAGACAGCAATAGCGCCCACACAAGCAATTAAGCAAACATAGGATAGAGATTTTATGTATAATGTAATTATACATTTAGCAAATAAGCACACAATAATTAAGTGATAAGAACAAGAGGTGTTGCTCAAACTTTGGACTGGACAAGAATCTCTTAAGGAGCCCCATAATCTGAGATTTTAATGTTGAAGGTCTGGGTTGAGTACCTGGGAATTGGCATTTTTAGCAGCCATACTCTTATGCTCCAGCAATCAAAACATTCTGATATAGAAGTCTCACTCATCATAGCTTGAAACATTGCCCTAAGGTTTAGAACCATAATTCAGCCAAAACAGTATCAGAACCGTAGAAATAGGTGAGTTTGATTCCGGGTATCAACGTGGGTCTAACTGACATCCTACCACTTTTACCCGGCTCGTTTGCTCTTCGAAAGATAAAACCTAAATAAAAATAAGAGAACGACTTCTGCACCAAAGCCCCAGTTTAATTTGAGGTTAGCCCCAAGGTACAGCAAACGTCTGAGGCTTCGGGCTTACCTGAGTTTCCGAATAGCCTGGGCACCAGATAGCTAAGGCAGCCTTAGTTTTCATGGCGAACATTTCTTTGGCGAGCGACGCGCAGCCGGCGGTGGGATTGAAGGTTAGGCTCTGGATTTCAGTAAGGCAATGTGGCTGCTCATAGGCGGCAAAGTTTACGAGAAAAGGAGAAAACACCAGAGAGAGAAAGAGTTGGTGAGAATTGAGTGAAAGGGGAGGGGAGGAAGGTCAGGGAGGAGCGGGGAACACAAGTCGAGAGTCAGAGAGAAGAGGTCAGGGTTGAGTAGAGCAAGGAAGAACCAACCGCGGGGGAGCAGGGGCGTGGCGAGGGTGGCGGAGGGCACTCGTCGCGAAAAGACTGTCACCCACGCTCGCTCCTCCCAAGTCTCCAGGGGGCGGAGGCTGCCAAAATTCCGAGCCCGAGCGCGGAGGCGCCGGACCCCAGCAGGTGGTGCCCCTAACAACGTTCCCTCGTCCCAGTTCCCAATTTGCCTTTCCTCCGGATAGAGACTTCCTCTCCCTAAATTGGAACAGAAGTGTTGTCCCAAGCTAGGCGCAGCCCCGCTCTGACAGCCCAGATGTCCCCTTTCCCCCGGCGGCGGCGTCCCGGAGCCCAGGCACCTCTCGGAGTTCTGCACGTAGCAGGATACTCCCTCTCCAAAATGCCTGGCGTCTCCCTGGAGAAAGCCAGCAGCACTGAACTCTCTACTCACCCGATTGCTACAAGAGACGGTGTTGTTGAACTCGGTACTTTTGGTCTGGAAGAAAGAAAAATAGGACAAAGAGGGTAAAGACTTTTAAGTCCACAAGGAAAATCATCCCTCCACCCTTTGCTCCCAGGCTTTAAAGGTGCCCTGAAAACAGTTTCCACTCAGGTACCTTTTTCCTATGTCATTGACAAGGCAGTGAAATAGCCATTAGATAGTGCTGGTTAGTGCTTGAAACCACACCAAAAGGTTCAGGTCTCAGAGGGCGACCTCCCCCCTCCCTTCCCTCAAGCCATAACTGCACATAGCACTATGCTTGTGAGTAATAATGCCATCCTTTGGATGTCCGCATCTGTACTGTGGCCATTCATGAATGCAAACTCTGTCTAGAAATTAGGTTAATCAGGAAAATGATTACTACTGTATGTTAAAAAAAATTCCAAGTACACCATATTCTGTAATAAATAGCATCCTGAAACATCTAAAACACTGGAGAGACCTGGAGCACAGCATCAATCCTTAGAGTTTATCTCATGAGAATTATCTCTTTTACTCCTCTTTCTTAAGCTCTTACCTCCTGCTTTTTACAGCATAGTCAGAGTAACACTTTAGCAAAGGATAGACATCCTTTGACGCATAACGCGCTGTCTATCAATACCTGCTCCTCATCAGCATCTGCACACTTAGAATGTGCCAATTTCTAGATAATCATTTTAGATTAGATATTTGAATATCACTTGTAAGAATCCTTGACAAAATGTGGGGCCATGATTTTTTCTAAATTATTTTTCTTTCCTACAAAGTTAAATTGTAGAGTGTGTGTATGCCGACTCCTCTGATGAAAATACATTTGTTTTAAAAAAGCTTCTTCACTTACCCCACTCATATATGTAATCAGGTCTTTAGAAATAGTACTGAGATAGGCTGCTTTAATCTTCTCAAAGTCACAGTTAGTGAAGTCGTAAGTTAACACCAGCCCTACAAGTTGTAAGATGAAGATTTTCCTGAAAGAAACTGACAGAACATATAGTAAGGCAAAAGGGAACATACGTGGACACCCAATTCCACCCCAGTTTCACACTAAACTCTTCCCACCACGAGTGTAAGAGATCTGTAAGGCCTGCCTTAGGGGCCAGTGCTCAAGCACCAGGTTTTGCCTCTCATTGCCAGTCCACAGGAAGCCCTTATTCACCCATGCTGTTGCCTTAAGTTGGAGTCTCCCTGATGCTCCAGAGCTTTCTGGCTGCACTATATAACACCTAAACGCCTACGGGCTCTTTTCTCCTAGGCCAATGATTTTCTACCATGTCATTCTCTTCCTTTATAGAATTCTGAATTGATGATGTGAAAGGAAAAAAAAAAAGGAGTAGCTAAATCTATGGAATTTTAACATCAGTAAAGTCATCAGGAATTTCCCTCACCTTCCTCCTTTTTGCTTTGCCCTAAACACTTCATAAGTGTGAATGTCCTTTAAGAAACGGATACCAGTGTCTTTCTCCTACAGGGCATTTCCGTGACCAATCCTTTCTATTTGGGAGAAACACCTTCTGAAACCAGCAGCCACTGTAAGGATTTGGAGTCCTTGCATATGTCCCATGCATTCTGAACATCTTTGAGCATTTCCTGTGGCCACTTTCAACTAGTGCTTTCCCTTCTCCTTGGCTAGTAAGAAACTGTGCTTGCTTATGGGATGCTTTGGAGGGTGGGGTGCAGTCTCAGTCTTCGACAGCACTTCCATGTGAAAGCATTAAATGTGCAACCGTGACCAGAACCTTAGGGGCAGGAACGATAAGAGGTTGAAATAAGTGGGGAAAGATCTGATGTGGCTTGTTCTCAAAAACCCTACTTTTCAAATTTCCCATATCAATTTCAGGAAAAACGCCTACTCTTGGTGGCTAGGGGCACCTTAGGGGCTGAAGAGTCCTCTAGCACTTTCTAGCAGGTGTCAAGAACTTTTAAAACCACAAATTCCAGCGCCCAGCCACCTTCACAGTCCCACTCTTAAGGCCAGCGACACAAGAAGCGGAGCCAGACCGCGCTGCTGGGTGCCCAGCGGCGACCGCACGGAGACGATGCTGTCCTGAGCTCAGCTCTCCCGGAGGCGGCGCACGCTTTAGTGCGCTCTGCCTCGCAGAGGCTTAGCCCCGCGCAGCGTAGACTGGAAAACGTCTGTCACCTGGGGCCTCAGCCCGGGCACCAGTTTTAGAGACAGGAGAAGCATCGAGATGGCGGGCTCAGATTTTTACTAGCAAACTCTTGTTGATCCAGAAAAGAGCGCTTAAAAGCACAGCAAAGTGAGTCAGGGAGAGTGCCCTAGAGGATGTCTGTCTAGCAGTCTTCCCAGTTCCAGCAACACCAATGGAGGGTTGAAGGGAGGGAAAGGCCGACACCGATCAGGTTGCTGAGATGAACCCCCTGCTCCTCCCTGGCTTGGCTCATGCGGCCCTGGGCCCTCTCTACACCCAGGTCCCCTCTCTCTCTCTTTCCCTTCCGCTCCCCCGTCCATCGCACCCCTCACCCCCGCCCCCCGCCCTCGCGTGTCGGAGCCTGCATCGCTCTGGTCCTTGGGAAGTTCCTAGGAGTCATCGCTCGGAGAAAGGAGGTTGGACGCCGTGTGTGAGTCCCAGCAAATGTCACAGGCCATGCGGTGCCTGGGGAAAAGAGCAAGGAATGTCGAGGGATTCGGGAAAAGAGTAGGGGACAAACTGGAGCCAGAGTTGAACTCTTCTTCATAGAAGGCACTCGAGAGGGTCAGAAAACCTCTGATTCACCGCTGACTTCAAAAATGGCTCTTTTCTGGAATTCTTCATGTGTTGTACTCGAGTCACCACAGCATTCTTTGAAAAAAAAGTCCACTCTTCCCCCATCACCAACTTCTCAGGGTATTGTGGGATGATGCCAAAACCTGATTAATCTATTGTGACATCAGAGATTATTCTGGTCGGCAGCTGGACATTATTATATAGGCAGACAGGAGCTAAACTTAGATTTCTTCACTGGGCTGGGATAGCTCCAAGAGACAAAGGAAAGGGCATGGTGGCTGCTTCTGTCACCCTCACCTGACATGCCTTCCCCTCTAGTGGCTTGCTGTAGGGCCAGAGAGTGTGAGTGCCCACTAGAACCTTCGGCTTCATCTCTTGATTGCTGATGGGGGCAAGAACAACAGAAAGCAGCCTACACTGAGCTTCGACTTGCATTCTTCTGGAGGTATAACCAGGCTGCCTCCCTTTTTTTGTTTCCTCTTTTAAAAACCCCTTGTGTCTATGATCTATGTAGAGTCTTTGTTCAGATGAGGTAGGCAGGGTATCTCTTTCTAAGGCATCCCAGGTGTCTCTTTGTCTGTTAAAACATTGCTAAACACTTGTTCCTTTTGCCCCCAATTTCCTTATCTGTAATTATGTGACCTCTTAGATCACCTGGATTATATTACTTGTCTGCTCAAAAAGTTATGGCAAAACAACCTACTCAAGGTTGTTTTGAGATTACAATTATCCCTCCTGCGTTGGCTCCAAGCTGTCTTTCCAGCCCTATTTCCTTCATTTTCCTAGGCTTCCAGCAAACAGTATCTGAAGGTAATATGCTCTAAACATGCTCTGAGCTGTTTTCTTCCCAATCTGAGATGTTAGATTTTCATGTCTTGCCATGTTCATCTTATTTGATGTCTCCAAAAGTGGTCTCCTACCAGGATGTGACCTCATTATCCTGTAAGCCGTATCTATTTTGGACTTCTTTCTATGGCTTCTATAGATTACTTAACATTTCAATAATGTTTTTCAACCTTATCTCTCTATTAGATTGCGAGTTCTTTAAAAGTAGGTAATGTTTTATAGCAGTTCATTTGTTCACTATTTACCTTTCCAGTAGCATTTGAAGTGATTTGCAATAAATACATTGGTGTCAAAAGGTAAAAAAACAGTCAAGGTGAGACAAGAGAATGGAGCAAAGGAATAGGGCGGTTAGAATCAGGTGCAGGGAAGGCTATAGAAAAGCATTACTAAAAACTGGAGAATTATAACAATTGATCTCAAAAGTGAGTTTTGAGCTTCTAAACTGCCACTACAAGGGGTAGACTATGACAAGCTCTACCACACACAAATTCATCATGAAAGCCAGTTTTTCTTAAGCTTATGGTCATCATCATAACCACAATAGGGCTGTCTTCTGTACTACATGTAATAGATATTCAATGAATTCTCAATGTGCTTAAGCATATTAACCTTCTATGAAGATCATTGTCAGGAAGCAAATTCTTTTCCATTGAAAGAACCTCTCTATAAATACTTCTTTTTCTAGCTCTTTGCTGCTGTCTTCCTGGAATCTGCTTATGTCTCACCTGGGGCAACAATTCAGACCAGGGCCATCTGTGAAAATTCAGGGTGAGCTGAAAAGCTTCCTGTTTTCCTTCTCTTTTCATTTGTCCAAATGCTGAAGGAGTGAACAGTATCTGCATACGTAGTTTGGGAAATCCTAGGTTAGGTCAAGAATGGTGTGTCTTCCATATGGAAATAGAAGTGACATCATTTGTAACACTCTGTGATTACTCAGGAAGCTTAGGCAATACTCTTACCCATGTGAAGGACCAGAAAATGATCCATGACATAGCTCTTTTCTCCTACCCTCACTAAAAAGATAAATCATTCATTAATTTTCTTAATACTTTTATTTCTTGTTTTAATAATGCTTCTCACTGTTTCTTTCATTTCGTTATTGTTTCCCACTCCTTCTTTTATTCTCTTATTCTTTCCCTCCTTCTTTTTAAATTTATGTCTTTCCTCCTCTTCCTTGAATTGTCCTGAATATTTAAAGTAGCCTAGAACTCATGCAAAACTCAGTTTGGATTTGAAAAATAGTTGCCAAAAGGAGATTGGTATTTTTTTTTACCTTATTCAATAATATAATTATGGGATTTTAAAAAATGGAAGGGATATCAGAGAGGTTATTGATGAGATGGGGGAGATCTGTCTCTTTGGATTAAGAAAAGTCAATGACACAGCTTAAGCTTGGTAATAATTTAGAAAGGGTGTAATAATGGAGTTTCCCTAGCAGAAGGGTGTTCTTTGGTCTTGAAAGTAAAGTGTATTGCTCTGGACCCTCCAGGACACAAGTCATAAAATCATTCTACTTCTTGGTTTTCATATGCTCATATAAAAGAGAGTGTCACACTTTCAGAGGTGGACATTGTTTCTTTTTTTCATATTCTACCTTGTTTATAGCCAAGCATGGTATTTATGTAAGGAGAAGTGGCTAGTGTTCACCTCTGAAAGTGATATTTATTTTGCCTGTTTCCTTTGCATTTTATGTTTATGCTCATGCAGATTTGCTGTTGGTCTGAATCATTGATGTGGTTCACCAGACTCCATAGTTCCTCTAAGATCTCTTGGGAACATTTGTGGACCAGAAAGTAGGTGAAGGAGTTTCCTATGACAAATGTGAAAAACAACTTTTTTATTTCATTATATTCCCAGGCTGATGATACCTGCATAATCAGCCCATGGCTGTGAAATGTTCCCAGATCTTTTTGAATTGGAGAGTGAGGAGACTAAATATATTCATGTAAACCTCATGCTTACGTTCATTGCTCTGTGAAGAAACAGTCTTACTCCCAGCCGGTGGGGGTAAAACAAGTTCTTGCTTACTTTACTGTTTTTCTACAACATAACAGGACATGAATAGGGAGAAGGTTGTTCAAGAAGAATATAGGAGTTGAGCTTTCTTAGAATGCTTCAAAAAAAGTTTTGGAAGAAGTCAGAGCTAAAGGATAGTTTCAGTTCTGGATACTTTGCAAGGATATTTACTATGCCGGATATCTTCTAATTTCCCCTTTAGGTCTAATCTCTGTCCTTCCCTATGTGGCTTTATGCCTTGGAAGCAGACCCATAAGGACTGCATCCACAGGCTCCGCTGACCTCCAGCTTCTGGTTGAGTTCACCTAATGTGAGATATTGGCAAGAGATCAGAAAGTAGTAAGACAGTGAAGTTCGGATTTTAATTCACCCACTCTCCAGCTGTTGGCTCACTGTAGATTGGATGCTTTCCTTTATAGAGGGCCACAGTTCCTGTTTGTTAAACTTTTCATCTTGCTGCCTGCCAGGTTCTGGTAACTGTTTCCTCCCTTTGTCCTTGTAGGGGTAGAGGTGATAACAGCTCCTTATTTTTGCTAGCCTGGTATACACCACTATTGCAAAAGTTATGGTTTGGCTGTCCTAGACCCAGTTTATACCCATTGTCCTGAAACAATTTATTAATAAAGCTTCCTTTCACCCTCAAAAGTGGCACCATTCCTAAAACAACAACTCAAAGTACTGTGAAAAAAAAAGTGGCACAGTTTCAACAATAAATTATATGATTAGTCTTGATTTTCCAGCTTATGTCCTTTGTAAAGAGTCTCCTTAGTAAACTTTCCCACAATTACCCAGTTTGAGCATGCTCCTTGTTTCCTGTGGGTCCCTGACTGATGCAGTCATTCACAGGAGTCAGTAGGATGTCATCACATGCAGCCATCAGGTAACATTCCTTTCCTAATCTTTTATGTCTGCCTTGTGGCATCATACCAGTTCTATAACTCTTGCGCAGGAAACCGTGGCTCTTAATGTTTCATTAAATTCTGTTAGAAAAAAAGCTTCTAGCTGTGAAAGATGAGTTATAAAAAATTCTGCCATTTTCTTTGTTTTCCTCTCCTCCTAGTAATATTGCCAACCAGGATTTGCAAGAAATCTATTCACCTACTGGACTCTATTGTGTAATTTGCTTCATAGTTTAGACACATTGTTTATGTATAAAAGGATCTTTTACAAAGTAACCATTATGTGAGTCAAGGGGTAGCCCTCAGCTTATTTCTCATCTGGAGTGTTTGAGGCCCTGCAGGTGTCTCCTCTTTTGTGAGTCCCACTCTTCTCAGTAATAATCTCTGGGTTAAGCAATCACCCCAAGTGTATTTCCTCTCTTAAACAAAGCAAGTCCCTAATAATCATTTTGTTTGTCTCATCGAGGTCTAATTTCTTCCCACACAGCCATTCGGGGCTTCTGAGAAAAAGCTGCCTGACAATTCCAGACACATGTGGGGGTGGAGGGAGGAAGAAACAGAAAAGGAGACTCTAGAAAGTTCAGAAGAGGATAAATGGATAGCAAAGAATTGGGATCTATGAGTTTGGCCTGAGGACTGTCTTCATGTGGGTATATCACCTAGAAAAGATTTTCAGAGATTAGAGCAAGGGGTTAGCAAACTGCAGCCTGTAGGCTAAATTCTATTATTTTGTTTGTTTGTTTTTTTGAGACAGATCTTGCTTCTGTTGCCCAGGCTGGAGTGCAGTGGCACAATCTCAGTTCACTGCAGCCTCTGTCTTTCAGGTTCAAGAGATTCTTGTGCCTTAACCTCCTGAGCAGCTGGGATTACAGGTCCACGCCACCATGCCGGGTTAATTTTTGTAATTTTAGTAGAGACGGGGTTTCACCATATTGGCCAGGCTGGTCTTGAACTCCTGGCCTCAAGTGATTGTCCTGCCTCAGCCTCCCAAAGTGCTGGGATTACAGGCGTGAGCCACCGCGCCCAGCATATGTAGGCTAAATTCTGCTTACCTATCTGCTTTTGTAAATAATGTTTTATTGAAATACATCCAAACCCACCCTTCTTTTATTACAGTATTGTCTTTGGCTGCTTTTGTGCTGCAAGGACAGAGTTAAGCAGTTGTGACAGAAACCATCTGGCCTGCAAAGCCTAAAATATTTATTATTTCATCTTTCACAGAAAAAGTTTACAGATCTCTGCTCTAGGAAATTATACCACTCAGCCTTATGTTAGGTTTGGTTTTGACTCTCTTGTAGTGTTTACAAGACTTTTACCAAAAAAGTTTATCAACAGTATGTAAGGGTCCCACGGTGTGGCCCGAAACCTGCAATTTCTCCAATATAGTCACTCAGTCAAACAGAATTCCGCCTCCCATTTTGTTCTGACTTATAGCTCTTGTTCCTCAACATTTGTAGTATGAACTCATAACTCATATAGAGTACCTCCTAAGAATATTAATTATACTCCTAAGTTCCCAAGTCTTTCCTCATGTGCTCCTAACAGTTCTAAAGGTTCAAATCCCCTTTAAAGAACAGTTATTCCAAAAATGCATTTGAAAAGAAGAGAAGCATTTAAAACAAAGATATTTAATAAATATTTCCTACTTTGCGATTTTACAAAACCTGGAAAGAAACTCAATGACTTCTTACCTCAGAGAGTATAGGCTACTCTCACTGGTTGGAAAGAAGAGATTTATAAAACTGTAGTGTGGGTGTTATTCCTATTAAAAGGATGTGCTAATTTATAGCTCCATTGTTGTTTAATTCAACGAAGAATGCCTGCTTTCCCCCAAACCCCCAAACTTCTCTGATACAATGAATTGCATTACCTTTTCCATGTAATTTTGTATTTTTGTAGTTAGAGCTTTTTTGTTGGTTACTCTTCTTGAAAGGATTTCTTATAGAGAACAATCGTTTTGTAATGATCTTGATAATTTCCAATCCGTGCATTTGAATTCCTATTATGATGTTTATATCTGCATTTGTATCTGTGTTTAGGACCTAGCACATTGCCTACACTCATTATATCTTAATGTAAGTCAATTATATTTAATATTTATTGAACAACTACTAGTTGCAGTGGAATAAATCTGAAGATTCAGATAATGTCCTATAATATTTTGTTTTATAAATAAATGATTTTAAAAGAGCCATGAGAATTAATAATTAAAACAATATAGTAGGTTAGTGAATAGTCAATTAGTACAAAGATTAGGAGATGAGAGCATTTCATGCTGACTTTGACCCAGGGCAATGTGCTTACACAGTCTGTTTTGTTTGTATTCCTCATTGGCATGATTTAAAGAGGAGTTAGAATAAACAAAAGTCTTTGAGCATTTGGGGAGAGAACCAATTTTATATTTTATGAGTTAAAATGCAAAACACTGAGCATAGTGTTTTGCTTTTTATCTTCAGATAGACAGAACTGCCTACCACTAGGTGTCTCAGTGGACGTGTGCAGCATCGTGTACACCTGAGAAACAGTGTTTCTGAGCAATTATGTAATGAGCAGCCTTGGGCATTTGTATCTTCCTTTGCAAAGGGTTTGGAGTGACAATCTTCATGAGTCATTATTTTTCCGTTGCAGAGTGAGGCTAGGTGACTTATTCTGCTCAGGCTGCTATAGCAAAATACCATAAATGGGGTGTCTTAAACAACAGATATTTATTTCTTACAGTTCTGAATGCTGGAAGTCCAAGGTCAAGGCAGACTCCACTTAGTCCTGGTGAAGGCTCTCTTCCTGGCTTGCAGATGGCCTTAGTTTTGCTTTATCCTCACATGATGGAGAGAGAGATCATCTCTCTGGTGTCTCTTCTTAATTTCATCATGAAGGCTTCACTCTTAGGACCTAATTACTTCCCAAAGTCCCCACCTCCAAATACGTTCACATAAGAGATTAGGGCTTCAACATTTGAATTTTGGTGGAACATAAACATTCAGTCCATAACATTCATATCTATCTGACATGATGAGGGAAATAATTGCCTTAACTGAACCCTAGGGACCAGACCCTGGAGGCCAGGAAAATGGTCTCCATCACAGATAGAAAATACATATTTATTGATGGCTGATTAAAACATGAGCTAGATAACATCATTTGATGTACGGTTAAATTATCTTTATTTTTTTAGGCAATGGAAACTATTTTAAAGACACAGAAAATTGTAGCATTATAAAACGTCCACATCCCCTTTAATAAACTCCAACAGTTTTAACATTTGTTTTTAACAGAGTCTCACTCTCTCACACAGGCTGGAGTGCAGTGGTACAATCATAGCTTACTGCAACCTCAAACTCCTGGATTCAAGGGATCTTCCTGCCTAACCTCCTGAGTAGCTAGGATTACAGGCACACACTACCATGGCAAGCTAATTTTTTTAAAAAAATATTTTGTAGTGGTAGAGTCTCACTTATTGCCCAGGCTGGTCTAGAGCTCCTGGCTTCAAGTGATCCACCCACTTTGACCCTCCAAAGTGTTGGGATTACAGGTGTGAACAATTATGGCCAGGCTGCTTCACATTTTTTTTTATAGAAAATATAACATTACAGATGCAATGGACCATGGATTAGCTAATCATATTAAATCAATGTTTAATTTTCTGATTTTGGTCATTGAATCATTGTTATCATTTAGAGATAAAGTATTTTTTTTTGTCTGTGTGGATAGAGACGGAGAGAGAGAGAGAGGGAGGAAAGAAAGAAGGAAGAGAGAGAGATGAAAATATATTAAAACATAGGTAAAGGATGGATGAAAGTTATTTGTTCTTGTCTTTTAACTATTTTTCAAGCTTGAAATTATATGAAAATGACAACCCTACAAAAGAGTTACAGAACAGTTGAAGGCTCTGTGTATCATTGCATAATCCTATTATTACTACTCCTTTCCAAAGTTAATTGCTACTCTGAATTTGGTGTTTATCAGTACCATGTATGTCTCTGTAATTTTATTTTTACAAATATGTGCTTGAAAACAATATGGTTTAAAAAAGTTTATATAAATGCTATCTTTTATTCTTCCAGAGATATTATATACATATGTATACATGTATGCATATACATACATAGGTTTACATATCCAGAAAATTTTATACATATCTATTTACTTACTATTTTCACAAAAATGATAACATTGTTACATACTATTGAGTTCTTTTTTCTTCAAATAGTATCTTAGATACTGCTCCATATTATTTTATCAAGAGCTTCTTAAGAATTTTTAGCGATTTATAGTTTCCTTTGTTTAAAATATATCAAAATTTAACTTTCTTGTTTTTATAAAATTATTTTTAATCTTTGCTATTCTAAATGATGCTTCAGTGAATAACCTTGTTCACTCATCATTTAGTACATTTTATCCAAGTGTGAATTATCTGTAAGATAAATTCTTACAAGTAAAATTTCTAGGTTAAAAGGTATGTTCATTTTTAACTTGGATAGATATTATCTATCTACCTATCATCTGACTATATAATATCTATTTATAGAAATACCAGTAAAATTGTCTAATATCATGAAAATGTCAGTTCCCTGTCAACATAAGATGTTATCAAACTTACTGGTTTTGCCAAACTGATGAGTAAAACTTATGTGTCAGTGTTGTTGTAATTTGACTTTATTTTGTTATGAGTCAAGTTGACTTTTTTGTGGCAGTTACTTTAGAGTTTATAGTAAATATCTTTAGTTTATATATGCATAAGGACAACTTGTATTTCTTTTTATGTGAACTGTCTGCTTAAATGCTTTGCTGGATGTTCTAAAGCCAGCTTGTTCAACCTGCAGCCTGCAAGCTGCATGCTGCCCAGGATGGCTTTGAATGCAGCCCAACACAAATTCATAAAATTTCTCAAAACATTATGAGATTTTTTTTTTGCAATTTTTGTTTTATCTCATCAGCTATCATTAGTGTTAGTGTATTTTATATGTGGCCCAAGACAATTTTTCTTCCTCCAATGTGGCCCAGGGAAGCCAAAAGATTGGACACCCCTGTTCTAAAGGGTTGTTGGAAATTTCCTTACTAATTTGAAGGAGATCTTTTTAAATTAGGAAAATTATCCCTTTGTTAGCAAATGAATTGCAGATATTACCTATATGTTTGTGATTTGTTTTTGACTTTGCTTACAGTGGTTTCTGCTATGAAGATTTTTTAAAAAATCTAATTAAATTCTTAAGTACTTTTCCCATGGATTCTTTTGTGTCATAGTTGGAAAGGCCTTACCTATTTGTATTTACAACAAGGAAACCATTTTTGTTCACAGTAGTGAACATTATTTTAATTACTACATTTAAATCTTTGATCTCCCATTAACTCTGGGCTAAAATATAAGACAGGCATTTACCTTTTATAAAACAAATTTTTATTTGAATATTT
Source organism: Homo sapiens (assembly GCF_000001405.40). Classification (NCBI taxonomy): domain Eukaryota; kingdom Metazoa; phylum Chordata; class Mammalia; order Primates; family Hominidae; genus Homo; species Homo sapiens. The sequence goes on along the minus strand of NC_000005.10, from coordinate 111,061,006 downwards.
TTCTTGAATAATTTATTTTCCCCCATTGATTTCAACAGGTGCCTTATCATATATGTCTATAGCTATATAGGTATGCCTGGGTCAATATGAAGCTATTTTAATTATCGTAGTTTGTATTAACATTTCTTCCTGATAATTTTATTTATTCTGAAATCTAGTTTGTCTAATGCTAATAAACACATGTCTGCTTTTGATTAATGATAGCATGGTATATCTTTATCCACACATTGTCTTTAACCTATTTATGTCTTACATTTAAAGTTACTGTTTTGTAGGGCTTTCTAAAAATTTTATTTTATTATTAATATTATTATTTTGTGAGACAGAGTCTTACTGTGCCGCCCAGGCTGGAATGCAGTGGTGCAATTAATCTTGGCTCACTGCAACCTCCACTTCCCAGGTTCAAGCAATTCTCCCTGCCTCAGCATCCTGAGTAGCTGGGATCACAGGCACCTGCCACTATGCCCGGCTACTTTTTGTATTTTTTAGTAGAGGCAGGGTTTCGCCATGTTGGCCAGGCTTGTCTTGAACTCTTGACCTCTGGTGATCTGCCCACCTTGGCCTCCCAAAGTGCTGGGACTACAGGTGAGAGCTACCATGCTTTTCTGTGGAGCTTTTTAAAAATACAATCTGAAAGCCTTTTACTTTTAATTGAAGTATTCAGACCATTTATATTTAATATGATTGTTGATAAATTGGGTTTAAATCTATCATCTTGCTATTAGATTTTTTCCCATCTTTGTTTCCTTTTTTTCTCTTCCATTTAAAAAATTAATTCAGTAGTTTTTAAAATTCCTCTTAATTCTTTTATTTGCTTATTAGTTTTAGGTCTGTTTTTGTGTGGCTGCTTTAGAGTTAATAGTAAGCACATATCTTTATATTGTCACAGTCCACCTTCAAGTAATATTATATCACTTTGTGTGTAGCTTAAATATGTTACAAACAAGTACATCTCTTTCTTTTTTCTTGGCCTCTGTGTAATTGCTGTCATATTTTTTATTTCTACAACTTTTATAAACATACATTATTATTTTGTTTGAATAGTCAATTATCTTCTAAAGAGATTTTTTAAATTAGAAAAGTTTACCTTGTATATTTACCCCTGTAGTTACGAATTTTATGTCCTGAATTCCTTTGTGTAAATCTATATATTTATCTGGTAATCATTTTTCTTTTGCTGGAGGGACTTTCTTTAATATTTGTTTGTAGTGCAGGTATGTTGGGAATGAATTCTTTTAGTCATTGTATGTCTGAAAAAGTCTTTTTCTTTGCCTTCAATTTTCAAATATATTTTGCTGGGTATAGAAGGTTGCTCCTTTCAATACTTCAAAGATCTTGTTCTACTGTTTAATGGTTTGTATTATTTCCAAAAAGGAATCTACTGACATCTTATGACCCAGGGTTAACATATGTTTTATTTCCTCCTCTGGCTGCTTTTAAGATTATTTTCTGCACTTTGGGCGGCCGAGGCGGGTGGATCATGAGGTCAGGAGATCGAGACCATCCTGACTAACACGGTGAAACCCCGTCTCTACTAAAAATACAAAAAATTAGCTGGGTGTGGTGGCGGGCGCCTGTAGTCCCAGCTACAGGAGGCTGAGGCAGGAGTCCCAGTTGCAGGAGGATGAGGCAGGAGAATGGCGTGAACCCGGGAGGCAGAGCTTGCTGTGAGCCAAGATCGCGCCACTGCACTCCAGCCTGGGCGACAGAGTGAGACTCTGTCTCAAAAAAAAAAAAAAAAAAAAAAAAAGATTATTTTCCTCATCACTTTTAAATTTTCTAAACAATGTGATTTTGTGTCATTTTTGTCATGTTTCCTGTGCTTGGGTTATATTGAACTTGAATCTGTGAGTTTATAGCTTTCATGAGATTTGGAAAATTTTTGCCCATTATTTCTTCAAATATTTTTTCTGTCCTCTCTTCTTTGGGAACAGCAGTTACATATAAATTTGACCGCTTGAAGTTGTAGCACAGCTCACTGATTCCCTATGCATTTTTTTTTTCAGTATTTCTCTCTGTGTTTTAATTTGGTTTTCTTCTATGCTACATCCTCAAGTTCACCAGTTTTTCTCCTGCAGATTCTAATACACTATTAATGTCATCAAGTATATTGTAAATTTCAGATGTTACATTTTTTATTTCTATAAGTATGATTTGGGATAGTTTTTGTATCTTCTATATTTCTATTTAACAAGCTCAATCTTTTCTCTGTCTTAGTAAACATATGGAATACAGTTAAATTGACTATTTATTACAATGTCCTTTCTACTAATTTCACCATTGCTCTCATTTCTGAATTCACTTCTAGGGATTGATTTTTCTCCTCATTATGGGTGGTAGTTTTCTTCTTTCTTGCGTTCCTGATACTTTTGTATTGGATGTAAGATATTGTGGATTTTACCTTGTTAGGAGTTGGATATTTTTGTATTGATATTCTTGTGATTGATACAAAATATTTTATTTTTTTGTGTTGATAGTCTTGTGACTGATAAAAAAATATTTTATTTTTCCCCTGCTGGAGCTAGGGAGGCTGGACAGCTTGGGACCAAAATATTTTATTTTGTATCAATATTTGTTTGGGTATGTAATTAAGTTGATAGGACCATTTTCTTCTTTTGAGACTTGAATTTAAGCTTTATTAGGCAGAAGCTGAGCAGTCTAGGGCTAAATTTTTCCCAGGACAAAGGCAACAATTTTATGAGTACCTTACCTGATGATTCATGAATCACTTCCACTTTGGTCACATATTAGTCCTGGTCCTATGTTAACACTGCTGATTGTCCCCACTGCTCCTTTTGGCTGGTTCTTTTCCTGGCATCTGGTAGTATCCTCACATGCATGCACTGATTAGTACTCAGGTGAAGGCTTCAGGGAGACTAGCATAGTATCACATAAAGAGCAGGCTTTAGAGTTATACAACTTGCATTCTAATTCCAGCTCTGCCAGTTACTAGCTGTGTGATTTTAATCAATTTACAATAGTCTCCTCTTATCCCCCATTTTTCTTTCTGTGATTTCAATTGCCCAAAGTCCAAACATATTAAATAGAAAATTTCAGAAATAAATAATTGATGTTTTAAATTGCATGCCAATTTGAGTAACGTGACAAAATCTCCATGGTCCTCTCTCCTCCTGCCTGAGAAGTGAATTACCCCTTTGTCCACCATACCCACACTATATATAGGTCAAAGATCACAGATGAAGAAGCAAGCACCCATCTTTGCTGTTGTCCAGTCTCCTTGAGTGACATCTCCAGATGCAGGACTGAACCAGATGAATAGGGCTTGAAATGAACTCCCAGCAAACTGCAGCAGCCCTACAGAAGAGGGACCTGACCATTGAAAGAAAAACAAAAACAAGAGCATCAACAGAAAGAATCTCCACAAAAACCTCACCCAAGGGTCAGCAGCCTCAAAGATCAAAACTAGACAAACTCATGAAAATGAGAAAGCATGAACAACAACAAAAAAATCCCTGAAAACCCAAAAAACCAAAGTGCCTCTTCTCCAAATGTTTGTAACACCTCTCCAGCAAAGGTGCAGAACTGAATGGAGGATGAGAAGTGGACTTCAGAAGGTGGGTAATAACAGACTCTGCTGAGCTAAAGGAGCATGTTCTAACCCAATGCAAAGAAGCTAAGAACCTTGTTAAAAGGTTACAGGAGCCGCTAACTAGAATAACCAGTTTAGAAAGGAACATAATTGACCTGATGGAGCTGAAAAACACAGCACGAGAACTTTGTGAAGCATATACAAGTATCAATAGCTGAACCGATCAAGCAGAAGAAAGGATATCAGAGTTTGAAGACCATCTTGCTGAAGTGAGGCATGCAGATAAGATTAGAGAAAAAGAATAAAAAGGAACAAACAAAACCTCCGAGAAATATGGGACTAAGTAAAATGAGCAAACCTACGATTGATTGGAGTACCCGAAAGAGACAGGGAGAATAGAACCAAGTTGGAAAACACATTCAGGATATTATTCAGGAGAACGTCCCCAACCTAGCAAGACAGGCCAACGTTCAAATTCAGGAAATATAGAAAACATCACTAAGATACTCCACGTGAAGATCAACCACAAGACACATAATCATCAGGTTCTCCAAGGCTGAAATGAAGGAAAAAATCTCAAGGGCAGCCAGAGAGAAAGGCCAGGTCACCTATAAAGGGAAAAACATCAGACTAATAGCAGATCTCTCAGCAGAAACCCTACAAGCCAGAAGAGAGTGGGGACCAATATTCAACATTCTTAATGAAAATAATTTTAAACCCAAAATTTCATATCTAGCCAAACTAAGCTTCTAAGCAATGGAGAAATAAAATCCTTTCAGAGGAGAAAATGCTGAGGGATTTCATCACCATCAGGCCTGCCTTGTGAGAGCTCCTGAAGGAAGCACTAAATATGGAAAGGAAAAACTGGTACAAGCTACTGCAAAAACACACCAAAATATAAAGACCAATGACATATAAAGAAATTGCATTGGGCTTGGCATGATGGCTCACGCCTGTAATCCCAGCACTTTGGGAGACCAAGGCAGGTGGATCACGAGGTCAGGAGGATCACGAGGTCGGGAGATTGAGACCATCCTGGCTAACATGGTGAAACCCCGTCTCTACTAAAAATACGAAAAATTAGTCGGGTGTGGTTGCATGTGTCTGTAGTCCCAGCTACTCAGGAGGCTGAGGCAGGAGAATCGCTTGAACCTGGGAGACAGAGGCTGCAGTGAGCTGAGATCACACCACTGCATTCCAGCCTGGGTGACAGAGTGAGACTCTGTCTCAAAAGAAAAGAAAAAAGAAAAAAAGAGACATTGCATCAACTAGTGTGCAGAATAACCAGATAGCATCATGAAGACAGGATAAAATTCACACATAACAATATTAAACTTAAGTGCAAATGGCCTAATGTCTCAATTAAAAGACACAGACTGGCAAATTGGATAAAGACTCAAGACCCATCGGTGTGCTGTATTCAGGATTCGGGAGACCCATCTGATGTGCAAAGACACATATAGGCTCAAAATAAAGGGATAGAGAACAATTTACCAAGCAAATGGAAAGCCAAAAAAAAAAAGCAAGAGTTGCAATCCTAGTATCTGACAAAACCGACTTTTAACCAACAAAGATCAAAAAAGACAAAGAACGGCATTACATAATGGTAAAGAGATCAATTCAACAAGAAGAGCTAACTATCCTAAATATATATGCATCCAATACAGGAGCACACAGATTCATAAAACAAGTTCTTGGAGACCTACAAAGAGACTTAGACTCCCACACAATAATAGTGGGAGACTTTAACACCCCCACTGTCAATATTAGACAGATCATCGAGAGAGAAAATTTACCAGGATATTCAGGACCTGAACTCAGCTCTGGATCCAGTGGACCTAGTAGACATCTACAGAACTCTCCACCACAAATCAACAGAATATACATTCTTCTCAGTGCCACATGGCACTTATTCTAAAATTGACCATACAATTGGAAGTAAAATACTCCTCAGCAAATGCAAAATAACCGAAATCATAACAAACAGTCTCTCAGACCACAGTACAATCAAATTAGAACTCAGGATTAAGAAACTCACTCAAAACCACACAACTACATGCAAATTGAACAGCCTGCTCCTGAATGACTGCCACTTTAAATAATGAAATTAAGGCAGACATGAAGAGGTTTTTGAAACCAATGAGAACAAAGAGACAATGTACCAGAATCTCTGGGACACAGCTAAGGCAGTGTTAAGAGGGAAATTTATAGCACTAAATGCCCACATCAGAAAGGTAGAAAGGTCGCAAATCAACACCCTAACATCACAATTAAAAGAACTAGAAAAGCAAGAGCAAACAAACCCAAAAGCTAGTAGAAGACAAGAAATAACTAAGGTCAGAGCAGAACTGAAGGAGATAGAGACATGAAAAACTCTTCCAGAAAAATCAATGAATCCAGAAGCTGGTTTTTGAAAACATTAATGAAATAGATACACCACTATCTACACTAATAAAGAAGAAAATAGGGAAGAATCAAATAGACACAATGAAAAAACGATATAGGGTATATCACCACTAACCCCACAAAAATACAAACTACCATCAGAGAATACTGTAAACACCTCTATGCAAATAAACTAGAAATTCTAGAAGAAATGGATAAATTCCTGGACACATACACCCTCCCAAAACTAAACCAGGAAGAAGTCGTATCCCTGAATAAACCAATAACAAGGTCTGAAATTGAGGCAGTAATTAACAGCCTTCCAACCAAAAAAAAGCCCAGGACCAGGCGGAGTCACAGCCAAATTCTACCAGAGGTAAAAGAGTAACTGGTACCATTCCTTCTGAAACTATTTCAAATAATTAAAAGGGAGGGACTCCTCCCTGATTCATTTTATGAGACCAGCACCATCCTGATACCAAAACCTGGCAGAGACACACACAAAAAAGAAAACTTCAGGCCAATATCCCTGATGAACATCAATGCGAAAATCCTCAATAAAATACTGGCAAACTGAATCCAGCAGCACATTAGAAAGCTTATCCACCATGATCAAGTGGGCTTCATCCCCTGGATACAAGGCTGGTTCAACATACATCAATCAATAAACATAATTCATCACACAAATAGAACCAATGACAAAAACCACATGATTCTCTCAATAGACGCAGAAAATGACTTTGATAATATTTGACATCCCCATGTTAAAAACTCTCAATGAACTAGGTATTGATAGAACGTATCTTAAAATAATAAGAGTTATTCATGACAAATACATAGCCAATATCATACTGAAGGGCCAAAAGCTGGAAGCATTCCCTTTGAAAGCCAGCATAAGACAAAGATGTCCTCTCTCACCACTCCTATTCAACATAGTACTGGAAGTTCTGGCCAGGGCAATCAGACAAGAGAAAGAAAAAAGCGTATTAAAATAGGAAGAGAGGAAGTCAAATTGTCTCTGTTTGCAGATGGACACGATTCTATATTTAGAAAACCCCATTGTCTCAGCCCCAAAACTCCTTAAGCTGATAAGCAATTTCAGCAAAGTCTCAGGATACAAAATCAATTTGCAAAAATCACAAGCATTCCTATACAACAACAATACACAAGCAGAGAGCAAAATCATGAATGAACTCTCATTCACAATAGCTACAAAGAGAATAAAATATCTAGGAATACAGCTAACCAGGGGTGTGAATGACCTCTTCAAAGAGAACTACAAACCACTGCTCAAGAAAATAAGAGAGGACACTAACAAATGGAAAAGCATTCTATTCCAATGGATAGGAAGAATCAATATTTTGAAAATGGCCATACTACCTAAAGTAATTTAGAGATTCAATACTGTTCCCATCAAACTACTGTTGACATTCTGCAGAGGATTAGAGAAACTACTTTAAATTTCATTCGGTTAAAAAAAGAGCCCATATGGCCAAGACAATTCTAAGCAAAAGGAACAAAGCTGGACGCACCATGCTACCTGACTTCAAATAATACTCCAAGGCTACAGTAACCCAGACAGCATGGTACTGGTACCAAAACAGACATATAGACCAATGGCACAGAACAGCAACCTCAGAACTAAGACCACACATCTACAGCCATCTGATCTTTGACAAAGCTGACAAAAACAAACAATGGGGAAAGGATTCCCTATTTAATAAATGGTGCTGGGAAAACTGGCTAGCCATATGCAGAAAACTGAAAATAGACAGCTTCCTTACACCTTATACAAAAATTACCTCAAGATGGATTAAAGACTTAAATGTAAACCATAAAAACCCTAGAAAAAAACGTAGGCAATTCCGTTCAGGACATAAGCATGGGCAAAGATTTCATGATGAGAATGTCAAAAGCAATTGCAACAAAAGCAAAAATTGACAAATGGGATCTAATCAAACTAAAAAGCTTCTGCACAGCAAAAGAAACTATCATCAGAGTGAACAGGCAACCTACAGAATGGGAGAAAAATTTTTGCAATCTACCCATCTGACAAAGGTCTTATATCCAGAATCTACAAGGAACTTAAACAAATTTACAAGAAAAAAACAAACAACCATATCAAAAAGTGGGCAAAGGATATGAACAGACACTTCTCAAAAGAAGACATTTATGCAGGCAACAAACATCTGAAAAAAAGCTCAACATCACTGATCATTAGAGAAATGCAAATCAAAACCACAGTGAGATACCATCTCATGCCAGTCAGAATGTCGATTATTAAAAATTCAAGAAACAGTAGATGCTGGTGAGGCTGTGGAGAAATAGGAATGCTTTTACACTGTTGGTGGGAATGTAAATTAGTTTGACCATTGTGGAAGACAGTGTGACTATTCCTCAAGGATCTAGAACCAGAAATACTATTTGACCCAGGAATCCTATTACTCGGTACATACCCAAAGTAATATAAATCATTCTGTTAGAAAGACACATGCACACGTATGTTTATTGCAGCACTATTTACAATAGCAAAGATATGGAACCAACCCAAATGTCCATCAATGATAGACTGGATAAAGAAAATGTGGTCCATACACACCATGGAATACTATGCAGCCATAAAAAGGAATTAGATCATGTCCTTTGCAGGGACATGGATGAAGGTGGAAGCCATCATCCTCAGCAGACTGACACAGGAACAGAAAACCAAACACCGAATGTTCTTACTCATAAGTGAGAGTTCAACAATGAGAACACATTAACATAGGGAGGGAAACAACACACACAGAGGCCTATTGGGAGGTGGGGGGCAAGGGAGGGAACCTAGATGACTGGTTAATAAGTGCAGCAAACCACCATGGCACACATATACCTATGTAACAAACCTGCACATTCTGTATATGTATCTTGGAACTTAAAGTAAAATAAAAATTAAATTAAATTAAAATTAAAAAAACAACTTTTGATAGTGGTGGAATGTTAGAATTGAAGCAATTATTTTTACTGGATGCAAGGTCATTATACTGAACTCTGACATAAACCAGTTTACAAACTTAGAAGATATGAATCTTAAAAGGTACTTATCTTTCAAATGATTTTTGAACCCTCACTATGATTCACTGAGGTATCATTTCATTAAACTCTATTTGTGAATGTAGTAGAGACTGCTGGCTGACCTCCAAATCCTGTTTTTGTTTTTGTTTTTGCTTTGACACTAATAGAATTGTGACTGGAAAGTGATTCTCCAGCTACAGACTGCATTTCCTAGCGCACTTTATAGATAGGCATGCTATGCTCTGTTGTATGAGAAAGAAATAAAATCTTTGCTCTTTAAGCTACTGTGTTTTTCCATTCCAGCCTCTGTCCCTGCTCTATTCAACATAATGACATTCTACTAAAACAGGCTTTAAGTGTAGGATAAACCCTCTAACTCTAAAACAAATAGGACTGTGATATATTTTGATATAATTTTGTGGGGTGTGTTTTAGTTGGAGAATTGTTCATTCCAGTGTTACCTGTTTTGTTCAAGTCTTATGGACTTGAATCGTGGATGCTATGTTTTAGAACTCAGTCAATTCAGATACCAAAGGGAGCCAAGTAAAACTTTCTTCCTCAGCTTTATCTCTTACTTTCTATCAACTGTGCTTTCTATTATTTTTCTTTGAGCTACAATGTATTTTACAAAATATTTAAAAAGGGATAATAGTTCTGACTCATGTTTTAAATTGTGCTTCTACTGAACAACTGAGACTATCTCTGGCAATTTCAACACTGGCTCTTGTGCAGATGGTCTCTTTGGTGCAGTTGCAGGCTACAGCAAAAAGTAAGTTCTTCAAATTTGCCTGCATCAGTCCCAAGGTCCTGAGGTGGTCCCGTAGGACCTCAGAACCATCTTTGGGTGAATGAGTATAAATTGCATGGGCAACTGAAATACAACTGTAGTAGATATATATTGAAAGGTTATAACTGGTTAATCTTCTCATGGAGGGTGATTAGAAGTAGAGAAAAAAGTAAAATTGAGACCAGTAATTTCTGTCTCTTGATAGCACCTGGTTGGAAATTTGCTGGGAAAGGAAATTGGTGAGTGATAGCTAAGGAGAGATGAGAAGCTCCAAGATGGTTCAAGGACCCCCCAACCCAAATCACTTATGTGCATATTTGAAAAATTTTTATTTTTTTATGTATCATATTTCTTAACTGTAAAATGAAGAAATTTAACTAGATTGTCTCTAAGGTCTCTTCCAGATTTCAGATTGTTTCTATAGATTTTTTTCTCTACCCATGGAGGCAGGTGGATCATCTGAGGTCGGGAGTTTGAGAGCAGCTTGGCCAACATGGTGAAGCCCTATCTCTACTAAAAATACAAAAATTTTGCTGGATGTGGTGGCAGTTGCCTGTAATTCCATCTACTCAGGAGGCTGAGGCAGGAGAATCACTTGAATCTGGGAGGCAGAGGTTGCAGTGAGCCGAGATAGCGCCACTGCACTCCAGCCTGGGCAACGAGAGCAAAACTCGGTCTCAAAAAAAAGAACCAGAGAAAAGGGAAAAACATTAAACTCTTACTGGTTTTATTGATTGTTAACCAGTTGTTTTATTGTTTAGTAACTATTATTTCATTAGAATTGATCAATTATCAACAAGTTATTTTAGGAAGAATAGTCAGATTGTCAGAAGTAGAGTATGTATCTTTCTTATCCATCCATTCATCACCTAAACACTTATATAACATTTATTATGTGCCAAGCTCTGCTGTAATTAGTTTATACATATTGACTCATTTAATATCACAACAATCCTGTTAGGTAAATACTATTAAATTCCCCATTTTACAGATGAGAAAATTGAGGCATAGGAAGAGTAAGTAACTTTCCAAAAGTTATACAGCTGATACCTGGTGGATTGGAATTCAAGCAGTCTCCATCCAGGGCTAGTGATTTTGCTACAATGTTATATTAATAGGGGGAGGAAAAGAAAAGGAAAAAAAATCCAAGAAATCTTCAGATAGTAAAGGACAAAAATAGCCACTTGCTTCACATCTTCATATTTAGAAGTACACATATACAAACAAACATGACTCAGAATAAAGGGATACATACTAGAATTTATTGTGTTTTAATTCTGTGCCTGGCAATGTACTATGATCGTCTCATGTGCTATCCATTTTAATGTTAACAATTGCTCCAGTAAGTGGTAGTATTAGGTCAAACTGCATGAAACAGCCCGCAGTTGAACATTTCCCACTTATAAAAATGTCAATATCATAGGTTCAGCCTATTATTGCCACCCTTAATTGTTTAAAGAACAGAAGCTTATCAATATTAAGTTACTTTTCTAAGGTTATATAGATTGTGAATGATGGAGCTGGTAGCTTGAAATAAAGTTTGTCAGATTCCGGACTTCATACTTTTAACCAAAATGCTATTCTGCTTCTGTATATTCCACAGAGCTTTTCATTATATGGCTATATATCCCACCCTTTGATTCTCTATGTTCACACACATGTTTGCACGTAGTCTTAATGACACTGCTTGCTGTGTCTTCTTCTTAACATTAAGACTAGTTTAAGGCCTTCCTAATCAAAATGTGGTATGTGGATCAGCAGCATTAAAACTATTTGTTAGAAATGAAGAATTTCAGGTCCCACACAGGACCACTGAATCAGAACCTGCATTTTAAAAGCTTAATAAGCATTAGTAGGTCATTCAAAAAGTCTAAGAGCCAACAATGATAGACTGGATTAAGAAAATGTGGCACATATACACCATGGAATACTATGCAGCCATAAAAAATGATGAGTTCATGTCCTTTGTAGGGACATGGGTGAAGCTGGAAATCATCTTTCTCAGTAAACTATCGCAAGAACAAAAAACCAAACACTGCATATTCTCACTCATAGGTGGGAATTGAACAATGAGATCACATGGACACAGGAAGGGGAATATCACACTCTGGGGACTGTGGTGGGGTGGGGGGAGGGGGGAGGGATAGCATTGGGAGATATACCTAATGCTAGATGACGAGTTAGTGGGTGCAGTGCACCAGCATGGCACATGTATGCATATGTAACTAACCTGCACAATGTGCACATGTACCCTAAAACTTAAAGTATAATAAAAAAAAATGGAAAAAAAAAAAAGTCTAAGAGCAGAAAGCCCCGGAAGCTCTTATTTGTTGAGGAAAGTCAGTATATCATTCCTTAAATGGAAAAATGAGGAAGAAATGCACTCTATCAAATATAAATGATTTTTTTTTTTTTTGAGACGGAATCTCACTCTGTCCCCCAGGCTGGAGTGCAATCTCGGCTCACTGCAAGCTCAGCCTCCCAGGTTCACGCCATTCTCCTGCCTCAGCCTCCCAAATAGGTGGGACCACAGGCGCCTGCCACCACGCCTGGCTAATTTTTTGTATTTTTAGTAGAGACGGGGTTTCATCGTGTTAGCCAGGATGACCTCGATTTCCCGACCTCGTGATCCGCCCGCCTCGGCCTCCCAAAGTGTTGGGATTACAGGCGTGAGCCACCGCGCCCGGCCATAAATGATTCTTATACATTCAGAAAGGTGAGGGCAACACAAGGAATTTTGCAACATGTTCAGGAAGTTCAGATGCTGGGATCCTTGCTGAATGAGTGAAGTGAAGTCATGAAGTCTTGTCCAGTTGGGCAATCCTATGAAACTTCTTAATTCTTCTCTCCCTCACATTGACCTGTTTGCTCTGCCACCACCCAAACTTAGCTCCATTCCTGACAATGTTGGCAAAAGTTTCATTTTTCCATGTTCGGGGGGTTTAAAAAAATAACATACTCAAAAAATGTTTAGATAAAAATTCACTCTAATCCAGAGGGATTTACCCAGTTCTGATTCACATTGTGTTAACTCTAGGGAAAAGCCTTCTCCCATGGTGATAGAGAACTCATAGGAAGAATTTTTTTTAATTAGATAGAATATGATTCAGGACCAGGGAAATCCCAGAAGCTAGAATCAAAAGTTCTGAGAAGACCCGGAGAGGATTCAGTCTCAGATAGCAAGCACCAGGTTGAATAAATAATCAGGGTAATGTGAAGTATGTTGAAGCAATAGATGAGACCCTAGTAATGTACTGATATAACCAATTCCCTGCCCACCCTGCAGTTTAGTGGAATTGTGAATTTCTGCTTCACAGATGACTCTTTCTCAGTGGACGAAACATTCTGTGTGATGCACACCAGCACAACAACAGAAAGTACTGAACAACTTTGAGGATAAAGGGATGAACACCAGAAAGATGGGGCAGGTTCAGCTTCATAATCTTGGCAAGAAGTCATCAGCAGCAAGATTTAGGTGTTGGCTAAAAGAGAAAAACAGGAATTCCAGTTTTCCTGTCTGGATTAGTGCTCCTGATGAGCTCAGTGGGTGTTCAATTTTGTAATTCTGTGTGATTTCCAAAAGTTAAATCAGGCTTATTGTTACTGATGTTTTGGTGACATGTGATACACGGTTACATTCCTCCTTCACTGCTTGGTTAAAAGCTTATGGAGTGAAAAGTTGAAAACAAGAAGTATTGGTGAAGCCAAGAAATATTCACACTGTTTCCCACTCTCTCCTAATTTGGCTTATCTCCAATGTAAAGATCACTTTCTGCTCACTCTGTAACATGTAGTTGTTGTCAATAATGAGAGCTAATTAGAGCCCCAAAATTTAGTTCTGTGGGACTTAAAAGGGACTTATTCATGAGGTGCGTATGGTTCTCCTGTGTACCTCCCATATAATCCACAGTGAGGTATTCTATGGCCTAAATTAACACATAGTTAACTAATTAGAGTTCTGTCAAAAGCAGAGTCTCCTTAATGCAGATCTGTTGAGATGTGGTTAAGAACAAATGTTTCAGAGTTCCCCTGCCTGGAGTTTGATGCTCCTCAGCACCCTCAAGTGATCCTTGTCATTTGGAGTGCCTTCGAATTAAGTCAAACCATGTCAGACATGGAGAACAATAAGCCAAGTCATGGGACTACACATCTTCATTCAGGTCATGGACCTACTTCTCTCTAGTCTTAGGCCTGAATTTTTGTCTTCTCCTACTTCCCATAGTTCTTAACCCTAAGGCTCACACTATAAACATCTTGGATCTGCTTCTTTTACCATTTCATTTGAGGACTGAAATTTGTATCCTCGAACAAATGGATGATTATTACATGACATAATTTCATAACCGTTTGAATGTCTTCCAACAGCCCTGGAGTTCTGATGTTCTACCTATCTCTGATATTCTACTTAAAGGGGCTAGAAACTTGCCTACTGCCAGGGACGCCCCTATTTAGAGTCTGCTGTGTGGTGCTCAGCAAGCCATAAGTGGTGGTGCTGCTTACTAAATCCTAGACCACTGACCAGGATCTTATTCCATTATTAAAGAATTTCATGAAGCATCTCAGCTAACTCCTTTGCTATTTTCTACTCAATGGAATGTGTTGCTTTGCTTTACCCCTAGATCAGAAGTTCTGGAGTGACACTTGTGAGCAGCATTCATGAGTTGCCTCCACAGTCGGTGAGATGGGTCCGCTCAAGTACTGCATACAGAGACACAAAACTCTGCAGACTCAGCTGCCTCTTGTTTTGATAGCAAGTGACAGTAAGTTGAGAATGTGGATCTTGCTATATTGTTTTTATTGTTTTGGATGAGATGGAGTGAGTACAACTGATTTCTTTCCCAGTATAATCCAGGTTAGGAACACCTACATGGTATATATTAAGGAAATAGGTTTTTCTATGATAAGCTTCAATTATATTAGACTCCACTTGTCTATATGATTCCATATTCTAATACTTAACTTCATTTGCCTTCATTGCCTTTGGAGTGGTCAGTGTTAAAATTCTTATCTTCCTGCTTTATTCAGAATAAAAAATTTACTCTTCTTGATAAGAATATATGTGGAAGAGGGAAACAAGACCGTATAAGGAGATATATAAAGGTACCTATAGAATTATCAATAGGAGGCCTAAAGCCCAAAGTAAATTTAGACGTGCATTAAATTAGTTATTTCTAGAAATGAATCATCTGCCTCATCATTCTCACTCCCATTCTGCATCCTGGCTCCTGGAAATAAAATGGTTTCTTCTGTTCAAGGCTGTTTTCTTGACTTGTAATACCAGACAAGCCCTTCTTTAGTTGTTTTCTCTGCTTGCTGTTCTCTTTTTCCCTTATTGGCTTCTCTCGTATAATTTACAATATATAATTATTTGATATTTCCCATCAAATCAACAAACAAACATTTTCTCTAACCATCAAACTATGTTTCCTTCCCTTCAGAATCAATTTCTCAAGAGAAGAATCTTTCCTTGGTATCTCTTGAGCTTTGAGTAAGCAACTTTTAGGACTACCACCATACTCCCCCAGTGAAATTTCTTGGTCTAGGAAAATATTGATCCCTAACCACGAAATCCAGTGAATTCTTTTCTGCTCTTATTTTAGTTGACTCTTTGGTTTTATTTGATTTTGTTGAATTTATTTTGTAAAATGCTTGTTTGTAAAACTTACAGAAGGGAGTCATGATCCTTAAAAGTCAGCAAGATTCAGTAGGATTTAAAATTTATAAGATTTAAGCATCTTTACATTTCTATCATTAGGGTTACAAAACTTACAAAATTTGATAAACATAATGATTTGAACTTCAGTGAAGCATCTAAAATATTTTTGTTTAAGATAGTAACTTGGGCAGGGGGAATGAGATGAAATGTTGTCATACCCTATGCCTAAATTTTGTCAAATTTACTGACTCACCATGTCTTATGACCTGATGAAGCTGGCCGCTATAAATCCAACTGGTGAAGAATTTCTAGGGAGAAGATTTATTATCCCGAGGGAAGAGAGGCAGACAAACTCACCCAATAATATTGACCTTAGTCCGGCTGACAATGGCAATAGCTTGATAATTGTGATGTAGACATACTTCTGACTTAGGTCCCTGAGCTCCTCTCTCAGGGGTATTTGGAGAGTAAAGGTTGAGACAGAGAAGGAGCTGAAGAAATTGAAAAGTAAAAACGTCCTTTGATTTAAAATTCTGTAGCTGATAAAGAAGAAACTCTAAGGAACATGCTCATTTCCTTCAAATATTCAAAAAAGTTTCCAATTTTTTACATTTTTAATTAAAAAACTTTTACAGTAAATCTACTGGGTAGAACTATAACTAATACATGGGAAAAACAGAGTAACTGATGTTGGTTAATAAGAAGAATGAAATTTCTCAAATTCAGAACCATAGAACAATAGGACAGACTACTCTAGAAGCTGTAGTTTCTTAGCAGGAAAGTGATTTAAGTATCATTTGGAGGGATAGGATTTAAGGCCCTTCTTCATTTATAAGCTCTAGGGTTTGCAAATTCTCTTTTTTTTCCTAGTCTGTGAACCAAAATGTAGTTTTTAATTAAAAAAATAATTTTACTTAACATTTTTTTAAGTGGAAAAATAATCATTCCTTTCGCAGTAACAAATTAGGACCCAAAGATACAACTAAAAAGAACGAATTTCCTTTCACATTCTCTAATTCACATTTCTTGTGCCATTCCCCACAGGTTAATGACGTCTGATGTCTTTTTGGTATGTGCTTTTCAGAAAATATCTATGTATGTGTGTGCCCCATAGCAGGGGTCCCCAACCCAAAGGCCATGGATCTGTACTGGTATATGGCCTGTTAGGAACTGAGCTGCACAGCAGGAGGTGTGTGGTGAGTGAGTAAGCAAAGCTTCATATATATTTACAGCTGCTTCCCACGGCTCACATTACTGCCTGAGCTCTGCCTCCTATCAGATCAGTGGCAGCATCAGATTCTCAGATTCTCGTAGGAGCATAAACCCTATTGTGCACTGTGCATTTGAGGTTGTGCACTCCTTATGAGAATCTAATGCTTGATGACCTGTCACTGTCTCCCATCAGCCCCTAATGGGACAGTCTAGTTGCAGGAAAACAAGCTCAGGGCTCCCACTGATTCTACATTATGGTGAGTTGTACAATTATTTCATTATATATTACAATGTAACAATAATAATAGAAATACAGTGCACAACAAATGTAATGCCCTTGAATCATCCCAAAACTATCCCCCCTGCCTTGGAAAAATTGACTTCCACAAAACCAGTCCCTGGTGCCAAAACGACTGGGGACCACTGGCCCCAGAGATAAGATCTAGATTGAAAACAAATGGAACTCAGCTAAACATAGCTTTCAGCAACTTAATTTTTTTTTTTAACATCAAGATGTTAAGATCTTGAACATCTTTCTTCGTTACAGATATGTATATAAACCTTTTTAAGGGCTGCACGGTGAGTCATTGTATAGAGGTACCAAATACATTTTATTAGTGCCTTGATTTTAGAGCAATCTTACATAGTAAGCAACACCCTTCCCCCACTTCTATTGGGTAGTCTGAGAGACTAAATTCAGTGGTGGTCACAACAGGAAATATCAACTTCGTAAAAAACAAAAGCAAGTAACTAAGTTTTTCTATAAAACACTTGCCAAAGACCAGCATATATGTACATGTACATATAACCTTTAATTCACTTCCAAAAAAAATTTCCAGGGAGCCTACCATGTGTCAGAGCTTTGCTAGGAATTTCCATGTAGTATTATCTAATATATTGTTCATCATGCACAAAAACCTAATAACATGTTCAGATTATAGAGTTAAAAGTTAAGATGGAGTAGAGTAAAACCATCATCCTACCCTCTTTGTAAATCAATTCACCTCCTAGGGCAAATTTTGGAAGGTGCTAGAGATATTAAATGGTCCTATAAGTTAAGGAACTGAATGTTGCTTCAGTCTCTAAAGATGGGGATCTCAGAAGAAAAGCAAAATTTTCCTAGGAATTATTGGGATCAAAAGGTGAGAGAACATAACTGTGAGGAGGCAGTGGTGAGGTGGGGAGTAGAGGTGTATTTGATGTTTATGTGCCATTTCATTTGTTTATTTTTGAATAGACTTATACAGACATACCTTGTTTCATGTCTTTGTTTCAAGCAAAGACCTGAACTTTGCTTTCTTGTACTTCATAGATATTATGTTTTTTTTTTAAATTGAAGATTTGTGGCAACCCTACATCTAGCAAGTCTGTCTGCACAATTTTTCCAACAGTACGTGCTCATTTTGTGTCTCTGTATCACAGTTTGGTAATTCTTGCAATATTTCAAATTTTTTCATTATTATTATATCTGTTATGGTGATCTATAGTTAATGATTTTTGGTGTTACTATCATAATTGTTTTGGGCCACCACACTGAACCCATATAACATGGAAAACAATAAATGTTTGTGTTCTGACTGCTCCACTGACTGGTCTTTCCCCATCTCTCTCTCTCTCTCCTCCAGCCTCCCTATTCTCTAAGACACAACAATATTGGAATTAGGCCAATTACAACCCAACGTGGACCTCTAAATGTTCAAGTGAAAGAAAGAGTCGCACATTTTTCACTTTAATTTCAAAACTAGAAATGATTAAACTTAGTGAGGAAGGCATGTCTAAAGCCAACAGTTGAGATAGGCCCCTTATGCCAAACAGCCAAATTGTGAATGTAAAGTTTTTAAAGGAAATCAAAAGTGCTGCTCCAGTGAATATATGAGTTATAAGAAAGTGAATGGTACTGGAAAAATTGGATAGCCATATGCAGAAGAATAAAACTGGACAAAAATTAACTCAAGATCAATTAAAGAATTAACTATAAGACCTGAAACTATAAAAATTCTAGAAGAATATCTAGGAATAACCCTTCCGGACATTGGTCTAGGCAAAGAATTCATGACTAAGACCTCAACAGCAAATACAGGCTGGGTGCGGTGGCTCATGCCTGTAATCCCAGCACTTTGTGAGGCTGAGGCAGGCAGATCACTTGAGGTCAGGAGTTCAAGATCAGCCTGGCCAACATGGTGAAACCCAGTCTCTACTAAAAACACAAAATTAGTCGGGCATCATGACATGCACCTGTAGTCCCAGCTACTTGGGAGGCTGAGGCAGGAGAATTGCTTGAACCCGGAAGGTTAAGGTCACAATGAGCTGAGATCACTCCACTGTATGCCAGTCTGGGTGACAGAGAGAGACTCTGTCAAAAAAGAAAAAAGAAAGAAAGAAAGAAAGAAAAAGAAAGAAAGAAAGAGAAAGGAAGGAAGGAAGGGTGAAAGGAAGGAAGGGAAAAAGAAAATGCAATCCAAACAAAAATAGACAAATGGGATCTAGCTAAGATAATTAATGAAGGTGGCTACACTAAACAGATTGTCAATGGAAACAAAACAGCCCTCTATTGGAAGAAGATTCCATCTAGGACTTTCATAGCTCCAGAGGAGAAGTCAATGCCTGGTTTCAAAGCTTCAAAGGACAGACTGACTCTTTTCTTAGGGTCTAATGAAGCATGTGATGTTAAGTTGAAGCCAATGTTCATTTATCATTCTGCAAATTCTAGGGCCCTTAAGACTGATGGTAAATCTACTTTTCCTGAGCTCTATAAATGGAACAACAAAGGATGGATCACAGCATAACTGTTTACAGCCTGGTTTACTGAATATTTAAAGCCCACTATTGAGATGTACTGCTTAGATAAAAAGATTGCTTTCAAAATATTACTGCCCACTGACAATATACCTTGTCACCCAAGAGCTCTAATGAAGATGTACAATGTAATTAATTGTTTCATGCCTGTTAACTCAACATCCATTCTGCAGCCCATGGGTCAAAAAGTAATTTCAACTTTCAAGCCTTGTGATTTAATAAATGCATTTCATAAGTCTATAGCTGTCATAGATAGTGACTCCTCTGATGGATCTGGGCAAAGTCAATTGAAAACCCTCTGAAAAAGATTCTAGATGCCATTAAGAACATTTGTGACTCATGGGAGTAGGTCAAAATATCCATACTAGTAAGAATTTAGAAGTTGATTTGAACCCTCATGGATGACTTTGAGGGGTTGAAGACTTCTGTGGAGGAAGTAACTGCAAATGTGGAAGAAATAGCAAGAGAACTATAATTAGAAGGGGAGCCTGAAGATGTCACTGAATTGCTGCAATCTCACGTTAAAATTTTAACGAATCAGGAGTTGCTTCTTATGGATAAGCAAAGAAAGTGGTTTCTTGAGATGGAATTTACTTCTGAAGAAGATGCTGTGAACATTGTTGAAATATCAAGAGATTTAGAATAGTACATAAACTGAGTTGATAAAGTAATGGCAGGGTGTGAGAGGATTGACTCAAACTTTGAAAGAAGTTGTACTGTAGGTAAAATGTTATCAAACAGCATCACATGCTAAAGAGAAATCTTTTGTGAAAGGAAGAGTTGATTGTGGCAGCAAACTTCATTGTTGTCTTATTTTAAGAAATTGCTACAGCCACCCCACCTTTCAGCAACCACCACCCTAATCAGTCAGCAGCCATCAACATCAAAGCCAGACCTTCCACCAGCAAAAAAGTTACAATTTGCTGAAGGTTTGGATGATTCTTAGCATTTTTTAAGCAATAAAGTGTTTTTTAAATTAACATGTACATTGTAAAACAAATGCTATTACATACTTATTAGACTACAGTATAGTGTAAACATGAATTTTTTTTTTACTATATATGTATATTTCTTTTCTTTTTTTTATTTTATTATTATTATACTTTAAGTTTTAGGGTACATGTGCACAATGTGCAGGTTAGTTACGTACGTATACATGTGCCCTGCTGGTGTGCTGCACCCATTAACTCCTCATTTAGCATTAGGTATATCTCCTAATGCTATCCCTCCCCCCTCCCTCCACCCCACAACAGTCCCCAGAGTGTGATGTTCCCCTTCCTGTGTCCATGTGTTCTCATTGTTCAATTCCCACCTATGAGTGAGAACATGTGGTGTTTGGTTTTTTGTCCTTGCGATAGTTTACTGAGAATGATGATTTCCAATTTCATCCATGTCCCACAAAGGACATTAACTCATCATTTTTTATGGCTGCATAGTATTCCATGGTGTATATGTGCCACATTTTCTTAATCCAGTCTATCATTGTTGGACATTTGGGTTGGTTCCAAGTCTTCGCTATTGTGAATAGTGCTGCAATAAACATACATGTGCATGTGTCTTTATAGCAGCATGATTTATAGTCCTTTGGGTATATAACCAGTAATGGGATGGCTGGGTCAAATGGTATTTCTAATTCTAGATCCCTGAGGAATCGCCACACTGACTTCCAGAATGGTTGAACTAGTTTACAGTTCCACCAACAGTGTATAAGTGTTCCTATTTCTCCACATCCTCTCCAGCACCTGTTGTTTCCTGACTTTTGAATGATTGCCATTCTAACTGGTGTGAGATGGTATCTCAGTGTGGTTTTGATTTGCATTTCTCTGATGGCCAGTGATGGTGAGCATTTTTTCATGTGTTTTTTGGCTGCATAAATGTCTTCTTTTGAGAAGTGTCTGTTCATGTCCTTCACCCACTTTTTGATGGGGTTGTTTGTTTTTTTCTTGTAAATTTGTTTGAGTTCATTGTAGATTCTGGATATTAGCCCTTTGTCAGATGAGTAGGTTGCAAAAATTTTCTCCCATTTTGTAGGTTGCCTGTTCCCTCTGATGGTAGTTTCTTTTGCTGTGCAGAAGCTCTTTAGTTTAATTAGATCCCATTTGTCTATTTTGGGTTTTGTTGCCATTGCTTTTGGTGTTTTAGGCATGAAGTCCTTGCCCATGCCTATGTCCTGAATGGTAATGCCGAGGTTTTCTTCTAGCGTTTTTATGGTTTTAGGTCTAACGTTTAAGTCTTTAATCCATCTTGAATTAATTTTTGTATAAGGTGTAAGGAAGGGATCCAGTTTCAGCTTTCTACATATGGCTAGCCAGTTTTGCCAGCACCATTTATTAAATAGGGAATCCTTTCCCCATTGCTTGTAAACATGAATTTTGTATGCACTGGAAAACCAAACATTTGTATGACTTGAACCAGCAATATGATGATATCAGATTCAAATACAAAGAAGTGTAAGTGAAAAGTAAATCTTTCTCTCCCATTTCTTCTAATAACCCATTTTCCTATTCCCATTGCGAGTCACCTACTATTATTAGTTTGTTGTATATCCCTGCAGAGATATTCTGTGTTTTAGCAAACTAAAGAGAGACAGAGAATATTTTGGTTTGCTCAGTTCCAAGTGATGCCTATTGTCACAGAGTAACGATCAATATGCCTCCCCTTTTACTCTAAAAAATACCCTAGTTGGGCATATTACTTATACAAATTCATATAGTTTATTGGCATGAATGGTAGCTACTATGTTCATTGTTCAGAGCTTTGCTCTTTTCATTTAACAGTGTGTTTTGACAATGTGTTCACAAAAGAACATAATGCACTTCCCCTTTTAAAATGTATTTTATTTTTTAGAGACAGGGTCTCACTCACTCTATTGCCCAGGCTGGAGTGCAGTTGTGTGATCATAACTCAATGTACCCTCAAACTCTTGGGCTCAAGTGATCCTTTTGCCTCAGCCTCCTGAGTAGCTAGGAGTACAGGCATGTGCTACCATGCCTAAATAATTTCTTAAATTTTTTGTAGAGATGGTGTTGCTATGTTGCCCAGGCTGGTCTTGAACTCCTAGTCTCAAGTGATCTTCCTGCTTTGACCTTCTAAAGCACTGAGATTTTAGGCATGAGCCATCCTGCCCAGCCATACTCCTTATTTTTAAAGTTGTATGATATTCAATTGCCTAAGTGTACCATATTTATGTAACCAATCTTGTGCTGATGAGTATGTACAGTTTCTAATCTTTCATTAGAAACTTTAATTCTAACTACTGAAATGAATGCCTTCTACATTTATCATTGAGAACTGGAATTATTATACAAATCTAGGGAACAATTCTAAAAGCAGAAGTGCTAAACATATCTAGGAAAAAAATTCTAAAAAGTCATATATGTTTAAAATTTTAATATATATTTAAAGTTTTCTTTTTTTCAGAAGAGTACAATTTATACTCACATCAAGAGTATACAGGAGTATGCACTTCCCTACACTATCACCAAGACTTTTGTTTTTTCCAACATGATAGATATCTAGTAGAATTCTGCTATTTCATTTTTTATTTTTTTGTGTTTAACTGTAGGAAAATACACATAACATTTGCGATCTTAACCATTTTTAAGTATGCAGTTCAGTAGCTTTAAGTATACTCACGCTGTTGTGCAACCAATCTCCAGGATATTTTATTTTATAAAACTAAAACTCCATACTCATTAAACAAAAAGTCCTCATCTCCCGTAAATAAAACAAACAAACTGCAGCCTCTGGTAACCACTATTCCACTTTCTGTTTCTATGAATTTGACTACTCTAGATGATTTAAAGAAGTGGAATCATACAGTATTTATGCTTTGTGACTGGTTTCACCAATCATAATGTCCTCAAGGTTCATCTATTTTGTAGCATGCACAGAATTCCTTTCCTTTTTAAGGCTGAATAATATTCTATTTGTATGGATATATCATATTTTTTTTAGCCATTTGTCTGTCAGTGAACACTTGGATGGCTTCCACGTTTTGACTATTATGAATAATGCTGTTATGAATATGGCTGTAAAAATATATCCTTGAGAACATGCTTTCAATTCTTTTTGATATATACCAGAAGTGGAAATTGTAGATCATATGGTAATTCTGGTTTTTATTTTCTGAAGAGTTTCCATATAGTTTACCATAGTGGCTGCACCATTTTACATTCCCACCAGTAGTTTCTGCACAGCAAAGGACATAATGAACAGAGTGAAAAGGCACCCTACAGAATGGAGGAAAATATTTGCTAACAGTGTATCTGATAAAGAGTTAATATCCAAAAAATGTAAAGGACTCCTTCAATTCAGTAGCAGAGAAGCAAATTTTAAAATGAGCAAAAGACTTGAACAGACATTTCTCTAAGGAATACATACAAATGGTCAACAGGTATATTAAAAGATGGTCAAAATCATTAATAAGAAGACAAATGCAAGTCAAAACTACAATGAGATATCATCTCACCTGCTAGGATGGTTACTATAAAAAAGCAAAGGCTACAGATGTTGGTAAGGGTGTGGAGAAATTAGAACCCTTAAATACTGTTGGTGTGAATATAAAATGGTCCAGCAGCTATGGAAAACAGCATGGAGGTTCCTCAAAAAATTAAAAATAAATTTACCTTAGGATATAGCAATCTTATTTCTGGATAGATATACAAAAGAATTAAAATCTGGATCATAAAGAGATATCTTCACTCCTATGTTCATTGCAACATTTTTCACCATAGTCAATATATGGAAACAATGGACATGTCCATAGACAGATGAATAAAGAAAATATGGTACAATATACACATACAATGAAATATTTTACAGCCTTAAAAAAGTAGGAAACCCTGCCATTTGTGCCAACATGGATGAACCTAGAGGACATTATGCTAAGTGAAATAAGCCGGTTACAGAAAAAGAAATGTTGCATGATTCCACTTACATAAGGCATCTAAAATTGTCAAACTCATAGAAGCAGAGAATACAATAGTGGTTTCCCCAGACTGGGGGAGTGGGGAAAATGGGGACTTGTTAAATTGTTATAAAGTTTCAATTAAACTAGCTGAATAAGTTCTAGAGATCTGCGGTAAAACATAGTGCCTATAGTTAACAATAGTTAATGTGCAATTCAAAATTTATTAAGAAGTCAGATCTTATGTTAAGTGTTTTAATCATAAATAAACAAAACTAAACAAACAGGCAACAAATACAAAAAGGGAACTTTGGAAAGTGTTGGATATGTCTGTTACTCTGATTGTGGTAATGGTATCACGGTGTTTGCATTAAGCCCAAACCCATCACATTGTGCACATTGGACCTGTGCAGTTATTTGTACATAAATTATACCTCAATAAAACTGCTAAAAAGGTCAAATTTAATAATCTTTCGCTCCATGATTTCAAAAAGCTAAAAGCCTGTCTAGCTAAGATGGTGTGTGTGTATATGCACACATACGTACACAAACACCTATTATTTTTTCTACCACTTTTGTAGTTTCAGTTAAAATTTTTTTGGGTTGGTATCAGCTTATTTTTCCCATGTTTACCCAGATGACCTTACACACTTAATTAAATATCCAGTTTACTACCACTAATTTGAAATGCCAGCTCCACTATATATTAAATAATTTTATTGTTTTCTAGATTTTACGTAGAACATTTTAAAAAATCATAAAATTTTCTAGGCTCTAAATTTGTTTCTAGATTTTTTTTTAAATTTTATTATTATTATATTTTAAGTTTTACGGTACATGTGCACAACGTGCAGATTTGTTACATATGTGTACATGTGCCATGTTGGTGTGCTGCACCCATTAACTCCTCATTTAGCATTAGGTATATCTCCTAATGCTATCCCTCCCCCCTACCCCCACCCCACAACAGTCCTTGGTGTGTGATGTTCACCTTCTGTGTCCATGTGTTCTCATTGTTCAATTCCCACCTATGAGTGAGAACATGCGGTGTTTGGTTTTTTGTCCTTGAGATAGTTTGCTGAGAATGATGGTTTCCAGCTTCACCCATGTCCCTACAAAGGACATGAACTCATCATTTTTTATGGCTGCATAGTATTCCATGGTGTATGTGTGCCACATTTTCTTAATCCAGTCTATCATTGTTAGACATTTAGGTTGGTTCCAAGTCTTTGCTATTGTGAATAGTGCTGCAATAAACATGTGTGTGCATGTCTCTTTATAGCAGCATGATTTACAATCCTTTGGGTATATAACCAGTAATGGGATGGCTGGGTCAAATGGTATTTCTAGTTCTAGATCCCTGAGGAATCACCATACTGTCTTCCGCAATGGTTGAACTAGTTTACAGTCCCTCCAACAGTGTAAAAGTGTTCCTATTTCTCCACATCCACTCCAGCACCTGTTGTTTCCTGACTTTTTAATGATCGCCATTCTAACTGGTGTGAGATGGTATCTCAGTGTGGTTTTGATTTGCATTTCTCTGATGGCCAGTGATGGTGAGCATTTTTTCATGTGTTTTTTGGCTGCATAAATGTCTTCTTTTGAGAAGTGGCTGTTCATATCCTTAGCCCACTTTTTGATGGCATTGTTTTTTTCTTGTAAATTTGTTTCAGTTCACTGTAGATTCTGGATATTAGCCCTTTGTCAGATGAGTAGGTTGTGAAAATTTTCTCCCATTTTGTAGGTTGCCTGTTCACTCTGTTGGTAGTTTCTTTTGCTGTGCAGAAGCTCTTTAGTTTAATTAGACCCATTTGTCAATTTTGGCTTTTGTTGCCATTGCTTTTGGTGTTTTAGATATGAAGTACTTGCTCATGCCTATGTCCTGAATGGTATTGCCTAGGTTTTCTTCTAGCGTTTTTATGGTTTTAGGTCTAACATTTAAGTCTTTAATCCATCTTGAATTAATTTTTGTATAAGGTGTAAGGAAGGGATCCAGTTTCAGCTTTCCACATGTGGCTAGCCAGTTTTCCCAGCACCATTTATTAAATAGGGAATCCTTTCCCCATTGCTTGTTTTTCTCAGGTCTGTCAAAGATCAGATACTTGTAGATATGCGGCATTATTTCTGAGGGCTCTGTTCTGTTCCATTGGTCGATATCTCTGTGTTGGTACCAGTACCATGCTGTTTTGGTTACTGTACCCTTGTGGTATAGTTTGAAGTCAGGTAGCGTGATGCCTCCAGCTTTGTTCTTTTGGCTTAGGATTGACTTGGCAATGCGGGCTCCTTTTTGGTTCCATATGAGCTTTAAAGTAGTTTTTTCCAATTCTGTGAAGAAAGTCATTGGTAGCTTGATGGGGATGGCATTGAATCTATAAATTACCTTGGGCAGTATGGCCATTTTCACGATATTGATTCTTCCTACCCATGAGCATGGAATGTTTTTGCATTTGTTTGTATCCTCTTTTATTTCATTGAGCAGTGGTTTGTAGTTCTCCTTGAAGAGGTCCTTCACATCCCTTCTAAGTTGGATTCCTAGGTATTTTATTCTCTTTGAAGCCATTGTGAATGGGAGTTCACTCATGATTTGGCTCTCTGTTTGTCTGTTATTGGTGTATACGAATGCTTGTGATATTTGCACATTGATTTTGTATCCTGAGACTTTGCTGAAGTTGCTTATCAGCTTAATGAGATTTGGGGCTGAGACGATGGGGTTTTCTAGATATAGTCATGTCATCTGCAAACAGGGACAATTTGACTTCTTCTTTTCCTAATTGAATGCCCTTTATTTCCTTCTCCTGCCTGAATGCCCTGGCCAGAACTTCCAACACTATGTTGAATAGGAGTGGTGAGAGAGGGCATCCCTGTCTTGTGCCAGTTTTCAAAGGGAATGCTTCCAGTTTTTGCCCATTCAGTATGATATTGGCTGTGGGTTTGTCATAGATAGCTCTTATTATTTTGAGATACATCCCATCAATACCTAATTTATTGAGAGTTTTTAGCATGAAGTGTTTGTTGTTTAATTTTGTCAAAGGCCTTTTCTGCATCTATTGAGATAATCATGTGGTTTTTGTCTTTGGTTCTGTTTATATGCTGGATTACATTTATTGATTCGCATATGTTGAAGCAGCCTTGCATTCCAGGGATGAAGCCCACTTGATCATGGTGGATAAGCTTTTTGATGTGCTGCTGGATTTGGTTTGCCAGTATTTTATTGAGGATTTTTGCATCAATGTTCATTGAGGATATTGGTCTGAAATCCTCTTTTTTTATTGTGTCTCTGCCAGGCTTTGGTATCAGGATGATGCTGGCCTCATAAAATGAGTTAGGGAGGATTACCTCTTTTTCTATTCATTGGAATAGTTTCAGAAGGAATGGTACCAGCTCCTTCTTGTACGTCTAGTAGAATTCGGCTGTGAATCCATCCGGTCCTGGACTTTTTTTGTTTGGCAAGCTATTAATTATTGCCTCAATTTCAGAGCCTTTTATTGGTCTATTCAGAGATTCAACTTCTTCCTGGTGTAGTCTTGGGAGGGTGTATGTGTCGAGGAATTTATCCATTTCTTCTAGATTTTCTAGTTTATTTGCATAGAGGTGTTTGTAGTGTTCTCTGATGGTAGTTTGTATTTCTGTGGGATTGGTGGTGATATCCCCTTTGTCATTCTTTATTGCGTCTATTTGATTCTTCTCTCTTTTCTTCTTTATTAGTCTTGCAATCAGTCTATCAACTTTGTTGATCTTTTCAAATAAAACCAGCTCCTGGATTCATTGATTTTTTGAAGGGTTTTTTGTGTCTCTATTTCCTTCAGTTCTGCTCTGATCTTAATTATTTCTTGCCTTCTGCTAGCTTTTGAATGTATTTGCTCTTGCTTCTCTAGTTCTTTTAATTATGATGTTAGGGTGTCAATTTTAGATCTTTCCTGCTTTCTCTTGTGGGCATTTGGTGCTATAAATTTCCCTCTACACACTGCTTTGAATGTGTCCCAGAGATTCTGGTATGTTGTGTCTTTGTTCTCATTGGTTTCAAAGAACATCCTTATTTCTGCCTTCATTTCGTTATGTACCCAGTAGTCATTCAGGAGCAGGTTGTTCAGTTTCCATGTAGTTGAGCAGTTTTGAGTGAGTTTCTAGTTTGATTGCACTGTGATATGAGAGACAGTTTGTTATAATTTCTGTTCTTTTACATTTGCTGAGGAGTGCTTTACTTCCAACCATGTGGTCAATTTTGGAATAGGTGTGGTGCTGAAAAGAATGTATATTTTTTTGATTTGAGGTGGAGAATTCTGTAGATGTCTATTAGGTCTGCTTGGTGCAGAGCTGAGTTCAATTCCTGGATATCCTTGTTAGCTTTCTGTCTCTTTGATCTGTCTAATGTTGACAGTGGGGTGTTAAAGTCTCCCGTTATTAATGCGTGGGAGTCTAAGTCTCTTTGTAGGTCACTCAGGACTTGCTTTATGAATCTGGGTGCTCCTGTATTAGGTACATATATATTTAGGATAGTTCGCTCTTCTTGTTGAATTGATACCTTTACCATTACGTAATGGCCTTGTCTCTTTTGATCTTTGTTGGTTTAAAGTGTGTTTTATCAGAGACTAGGATTGCAACCCCTGCCTTTTTTTGTTTTCCATTTGCTTGGCGGATCTTCCTCCATCACTTTATTTTGAGCCTATGTTTGTCTCTGCACGTGAGATGGGTTTCCTGAATACAGCGCAGTGATGGATCTTGACTCTTTATCCAATTTGCCAGTCTGTGTCTTTTAATTGTAGCATTTAGCCCATTTCCATTTAAGGTTAATATTGTTATATGTGAATTTGATCCTGTCATTATGATGTTAGCTGGTTATTTTGCTCATTAGTTGATGCAGTTTCTTCCTAGCCTTGATGGTCTTTACAATTTGACATGTTTTGCAGTGGCTGGTACTGGTTGTTCCTTTCCATGTTTAGTGCTTCCTTCAGGAGTTCTTTTAGAGCTGGCCTTGTGGTGACAAAATCTCTCAGCATTTGCTTGTGTGTAAAGTATTTTATTTCTCCTTCACTTATGAAGCTTAGTTTGGCTGGATAAGAAACTCTGGGTTGAAAATTCTTTCCTTTAAAAATGTTGAATATTGGCCCCTACTCTCTTCTGGCTTGTAGAGTTTCTGCCGAGATCAGCTATTAGTCTGATGGGCTTCCCTTTGAGGGTAACCCGACCTTTCTCTCTGGCTGCCCTTAACATATTTTCCTTCATTTCAATTTTGGTGAATCTGACAATTATGTGTCTTGGAGTTGCTCTTCTTGAGGAGTATCTTTCTGTCGTTGTCTGTATTTCCTGAATTTGAATGTTGGCCTGCCTTGCTAGATTGGGGAAGTTCTCCTGGATAATATCCTGCAGAGTGTTTTCCAACTTGGTTCCATTCTCCCCATCACTTTCAGATACACTAATCAGAGGTAGATTTGGTCTTTTCACATAGTCCCATATTTCTTGGAGGCTTTGTTCATTTCTTTTTATTCTTTTTTCTCTAAACTTCTCTTCTCACTTCATTTCATTCACTTCGTCTTCCATTGCTGATACCCTTTCTTCCAGTTGATTGCATCGGCTACTGAGGCTTGTGCATTCGTCACATAGTTCTCGTGCCGTGGTTTTCAGCTCCATCAGGTCATTTAAGGACTTCTCTGCATTGCTTATTCTGGTTAGCCATTCATCTAATTTTTTTTCAAAGTTTTTAACTTTTTTACCATGGGTTCGAACTTCCTCCTTTAGCTCGGAGTAGTTTGATGTTCTGAAGCCTTCTTCTCTCAACTCGTCAAAGTCATTCTCCATCCAGCTTTGTTCCGTTGCTGGTGAGGAGCTGCGTTGCTTTGGAGGAGGAGAGGTGCTCTGATTTTTAGAGTTTCCGGTTTTTCTGCTCTGTTTTTTCCCCATCTTTGTGGTTTTATCTACCTTTGGTCTTTGATGATGGTGACGTACAGATATTATTTTGGTGTGCATGTCCTTTCTGTTTGTCAGTTTTCCTTCTAACAGTCAGGACCCTCAGCTGCAGGTCTGTTGGAGTTTGCTGGAGGTCCACTCCACACCCTGTTTGCCTGGGTATCAGCAGTGGAGGCTGCAGAACAGCAGATATTGGTGAACTGCAAATGCTGCTGCCTGATCATTCCTCTGGAAGTTTTGTCTCAGAGGTGTACCCGGCCGTGTGAGGTGTCAGACCGCCCCTACTGGGGGGTCCCTTCCAGTTAGGCTACTCGGGGGTCAGGGACCCACTTGAGGAGGCAGTCTGCCTGTTCTCAGATCTCAAGCTGGGTGCTGGGAGAACCACTACTCTCTTCAAAGCTGTCAGACAGGGACATTTAAGTCTGCAGAGGTTACTGCTGCCTTTTGTTTGTCTGTGCCCTGCCCCCAGAGGTGGAGCCTACAGAGGCAGGCAGGCCTCCTTGAGCTCTGGTGGGCTCCACCCAGTTCGAGCTTCCCAGCAGCTTTGTTTACCTACTCAAGTCTTGGCATGGTGGGTGCCCCTCCCCTAGCCTCACTGCCACCTCACAGTTTGATCTCAGACTGCTGTGCTAGCAATGAGTGAGGCTTCTTGGGCGTAGGACCCTCTGAGCCATGTGCAGGATATAATCTCCTGGTGTGCCATTTGTTAAGCCCATTGGAAAAGCGCAGTATTAGGGTGGGAGTGACCCAATTTTTCAGGTGCCATCTGTCACTCCTTTCTTTGTCTAGGAAAGGGAATTCCCTGACCCCTTGCGCTTCCCGGGTGAGGCGATGCCTCGCCCTGCTTCGGCTCACACACAGTGCACTGCACCCACTGTCCTGCACCCACTGTCCGGCACTCCCCAGTGAGATGAACGGTACCTCAGTTGGAAATGCAGAAATCTCCCGTCTTCTGCATTGCTCACACTGGGAGCTGTAGACTGGAGCTGTTCCTATTCTGTCATCTTGGCTCCACCCCTCTTCTAGATATTTTTATTCTGTGTGATTGGTCTGGCCCATGCCAGTTCCTAGTTGTAATGTATTACAGTATCTCATAGGGCTAGTCTGCTTTTATTACTTTTGTTCCCCAAGTTTTCTTTGATAGCTCATATATTTAAATTTTTAAGCACTCAGTTTTTCTGTAATATTTAGTACATGTAAAATGTTATATATTAGATTAAAATTATTGGAACATAAAAGCACCACAAAAATAGGAGTTAACGTTTTATAATATTAGAGTGGTGTAGACCTTTCTAAATATGATGCAAACTCCAGAAGCCATAGAATAAAATAATTCTAATATATACAAATACAAATACAAAAAAATACCATAAGCAGAATCAAAAGCAAGGAACAAACTAAGGCAAATGTTTTCAAACTCATCACCAAATGAAGATTTCTTTAAAAAATAAGCTCTTACAAATCAGTAAGAAAATTTGTAAAGGATGCAAACAGTTCAAAGGAAATATTATTGAAAATGTCTCTCAAAATATCTGAAAAGATGTATAACTTCACTCATACTAAGAGAAATGCAACCTAAAACTACTAATACACCATTTTCAACAAGTAGGCAAAGAAAAAACATTTGCTAACATTGTATTAGTGAGTACAGATGAAAGTCACTCTCACATATGGCTAATTTGGTGTGTCATTGTTTACAACCTCTACGGAAGGTAATTTCACAATATTTATCAAAGTTAACTCATCAGTTTTATTCCTAGGTACTTACCTTACATATATACTCGTATTTGTGTAAAATGACCTATACACAAATAAATGAATTTTACCATTATAAGAATCAAAGATTAGAAATAATGTAAATCCCTTAAAGGAAGACTGGTTAAAAAGTTATGTTACACCTGTGCAGTGGGTAAGATTATTTTACACAGCTACAAAAACAAAAGAGGCAGCTCAATATTTTCTTTTTTGGGTACATTGTCAAAACACACAGTTAAATGAAGAAAAGCAACAAAGCAACTTTCTGAACAGTGTACACAGTAGCTGCCTTTTGTGTGACTAAATTGTATGCTTATTTATACATAAATATGTCCAAACAGGGTGTTTTTCAGAATCAAAGAGAGTGCTATTAATAATTAATCTGTGACAACAGCCATCACTTGGAACCATCTTGAGTAGACCAGAATAATCTATTATCTATCTATCTATCTATCTATCTATCTATCTATCTATCTATCTATCTAAGTTAACTCAGCAACTTTATTTATCTACCTACCTATCTACGTACCTATGTATCTATCTTTATCTATCTATCTATCTATCTGTCTGTCTGTCTTTCTGTCTCTAATCTTTCTGTCTGTCTGTCTCTTGCTTAAAACATAGAGTATCTCTGGAGGGAAACACAACAAAGTAGTAATAGTTGATAACTCTTGTAAGGGGAACAGGAAACAGGGTAGCTGGAGGAAATGGGGAAGAAAGAGACTAACTTTTCATTATGTACTTCTTTGTATATTTTGAATCTGGTACTATTTGTAAGTATAAACCTATTCAAAATACATAAATAAATAAGCGTGAATGGTACATAGCATCAAATACACTTCTCCCCTCCTCTTTTCACCACTGCCTCCTCACAAGTATGTTCTTTACTCCTTAATCCCTATTATTCCCTTAGAATCTTTTGCCTTGTCTGATCCTTAGGGTCTAAGGTAACATTCAGTCCTAAAATAAAAACTACAGGACTACTTAAGGTCTCTACTACCTTCCTGCCTCTTGATGTTAAAAAAAACTCCCGAGCTTTCCCTAAGAGGTTGCTATGGTTTGAATGTGGTCCTAATTTCATGTGTTGAAAACATAATCCCAAATGTTGCAGTATTGAAAGGTGGGGCCTTTAAGGGGTTGTTGGGTTATGAGAGCTCTGCCCTCATGAATGGATTACTTCATTCATGGGTTAATGGATCAGTAGGTTATCATGGGAATGGAACTGGCAGTTTTAAAAGAACATAAAGAGAGATCTGAGCTGGCAGGCTCAGCCCCCTTATCATGTCATGACCTTCACTGCCTTGGGACTTAGCAGAGTTCCCCACCAGCAAGAAGGCCTTCACCAGATGAAGACTCTCTACCTTGTCCTACCGGCCTTCATAACTGTAATAAATACATTATTTTCTTTATAAATGACTCAGTTTCAGGTATTCTGTTATAAGCAAAAGAAAATGGACAAAAATCTGCAGAGAACATAGGACAATGAATATCATTGGCATTTACATATGTTCTCAAGAATCTCTGGTGGGAGATCCTGAGAGAATTTTGGGGACTCAGAATGATTATTATGTTTTTCGTCACCAATGATAATTCTCTAGGCAGCATTTCTTTTCTTTTTTTGAGATGGAGTCTAGCTCTGTCACCCAGGCTGGAGTGCAGTAGCATGATCTCGGTTCACTGCCACTTGTGCCTCCAGGGTTCAAGCAATTCTCCTGCCTCAGCCTCCCACATAGCTGGGATTACAGGCACCCGCCACCATGCCCAGCTAATTTTTGTATTTTTTAGTAGAGATGGGGTTTCACTGTGTTGGCCAGGCTGGTCTCGAACTCATGACTTCGTGATCCACCAGCCTCAGCCTCCTAAAGTGCTGGGATTACAAGCGTGAGCCACCATGCCTGGCCTAGGCAGCATTTCATAAGTGTATTCTGTGAAATATCAATCTCTCAAGGTACTATTTAATTTTTTTCCCTTGTGGCTGATGAAGTTTGCAAAACTAGTAAAATATATCCTTTTTGGAGAAAGATGGCACACACTGATATTTTAAGAGCCTGATTAATTTTACAATAAAAAGGTCCTCTTTAATTTGTGTTTGAATTAGAGTTTCTAAACTTATTTGACCCCAGAATCATTTTTACCCACCCATCTCTCCAAAATTAGTCATGACCTACTGTGGCAGTGTAAGGTAGAAGCAGCATAAATTGTAATAACCAAAAGGGGACAAATGTTGGAGCAGTGAATAATAAATGCCAATCTGAATTTGTAAAGTTAGATTCTTATAAGACTAATTTTAAACATATGATATAATAAAAAACATGAGATGATAAATAATTCAGCAAATAAAAAACTTGCTAACAATGGGTGTTTTAAGCCTTGAAAACAATCCTCTTCTGCAGGCTGGACACTATCAATTATCATATTTTTGCTCTTCACATGTTTAGCAGATCCTATGATTGCCAAAGTGGTCATCAGGTCAAGCCCTTTCTGAATGAGCACAAATTTAAATTACAGAAGTCTAAATCAGTGTCAAATTGCTTGAGTATGCAACCTCTAGAATAGGATTAACAAACTCTGTATTCTGATTTTGTTTTTCTCTAGAATGTCTAACACAGTGGTTGGCAATGGTAGAATTAAAGGGTATGTTGGGAGGGTGTGAAAAACAAGAAGAAAAGAAGAGATGTGACCATGGTCAGAAACTACAAAATAAAAGGAGGAAAAATAGGTGCTGTGGCAGCTGTCTGAGTCCATTTGAGTTTCTATAACAGATACCTTAGCTGGGTAGCTTACAAAAAGCCAAAATTTATTTCTGATGCTTCTGGAAGCTGGCAAGTCCAAGATCAAGTCTTAGGCAAATTATGTGTCTGGTGAGGATCCACTTCCCCATAAATGGCACCTTCTCACTGTGTCCTCATGGTAGAAGGGGTGAGCAAGCTCCCTTGGCCTTATGTATGTATGTATGTATGTATGTATGTATGTATGTATGTATTTATTTATTTATTAGATGGAGTCTTGCTCTGTCGCCCAGGCTGGAGTGCAGTGGTGTGATCTTGGCTCACTGTAACCTCTGCCTCCCAGGTTCATGCCATTCTCCTGCCTCAGCCTCCCAAGTAGCTGGGACTACAGGGACCCGCCACCATGCCCGGCTATTTTTTTTTTTTTTAATTTTTAGTAGAGATGGGGTTTCACCGTGTTAGCCAGGATGATCTCGATCTCCTGACCTCATGATCCACCTGCCTTGGCCTCCCAAAATGCTGGGATTACAGGCGTTAGCCACTACACCCAGTCCCCTTGGCCTTATTTTGTAAGAGCACTAATCCCATTCATAGGGGATAGGCCTCTCAAATGGTCCCAGCTTCTAATACCACTGTCTTGGGAGTTAGGATTCCACCATATAAATTTTGGAAAGACACAAACATTTAGACCATAACAACAGAGATGGACACTTGTTATGTTTCAGATGTCACTTAGTGGCCTCAAAAGTGAGGGTCATCTGTCCTGGACTGTAAGTCTTCTCGTTCTCTGTTCTCATGCTAGGCACTTTTGAGTCTAGATAGAGGTGGTAAGTTTATTAGATAAAACTATTTGTTGAGTGATCAGCAGTGATTTCAAATTTGGCTCTAAGGTTTACTGGCTCTAATGGGATGACTTAGAAATCAGAAAGGCAGCATGGCGATCACTCTGGGTTAAGAGTGTGGGCTCTGAAGTCGTCTTTAGGTTTAACTTCTGGCTGTACTGTTCAGTAACTGTGCAATGTTGAGAATTTTGATTTATCTCTGAAGTTTGTTTCCTTGCACACAAATGGAAATAATAATACATTCACCATATATTGCTATAAGAGATAAATGAGAAAATATCAGGTACAGTGTGTGGCACATGGTATACACTCAATAATGGCTGTGTTTATTGTTATTATATTACTGTAATATAGTTCTCCACCTACTCTATGGTGGTTAATACCTCCATGACTTGGCTTACTGAGATAATAATACTTTTCTAGAGCAATTTGCCTCATACAATATGAACCACAAACTCTCTAGAATGCAAATTTTTAAAAATCTTCAATATTATGTACAACAAAAATTTCTCTATTCTTTTTTCTTGTCAGGACTGGGGAGCTTCTATTAGCCAGTATTCCTAGTATGATGGATACTTTGCTTAATTTAACAAGCATTTAATTTAAAGAGAAACAAGGACCTCCTCAGTGTGAAAGTTATGCTAAAACTCTACCCTAATGAATCTGGCTTTCTGCTCTTTAAATATTTTGGAGTTTATTTTTGTATATGGTTCAAAACTGTGAAGGAAAGAAAAAGAGGCTATAGTGCAGTTACTGCTGTTTTGTTTTTAAGCCACTCTTTGTGGAGAATATTTTAGATAATCATATTTTTGAATTACTAATTTAGAACTGGGGAAAAAGGAGGTAGGAGGGAGATGGGGCAGAAGAGAAAGGAAGGGGATATTTTCGTTCACTGGAGTTGAAAATCTATGGCATGGGCTGTGTGATTTTGGAAATATTTCTTTAATGTGGGTTATGAAATGTTTTAATTTGAATTTGTTATTATAACCAATAATAAGATTGCTATCATGAGCAAAGTTGACCTGCCCCGAGACAAAATTTTCCATATGATTCTTTATTAGTAATAAAATAGCCAAATCTCATTAAACACTTGAACTAATTGAATAGGCTTTGATGAGATATTTAGCTCTTTCAGATAACCTATCTCTGGGAATTTTATTTGTCATCTAATATGGCAGATATCATTATTTCCACTTCAATGATGAGAAACT
Organism: Homo sapiens; assembly: GCF_000001405.40. Lineage (NCBI taxonomy): Eukaryota > Metazoa > Chordata > Mammalia > Primates > Hominidae > Homo > Homo sapiens. The sequence continues at coordinate 111,024,216 of NC_000005.10, read as the reverse complement.
CAGGGCCGAAATAGTGAACTTGGCTTACGTCTAGTTAGAATAAAGATGAGGACCTCCTGCCTCAGGTCCACAGCAGACATGTACTAAGTGGACTCAAAACAACTTTGTCCAGGATAATGATGCATTCATAGCTGCTTGAGCTGCAGGCAAGGCCACTCACACGACACCTCTCTTCCGTTAACTCTGTGGTGCTTTCCTATTCTCCACACAGTGGCCAGAAAAGTTTTATAAAACAAAGATCCTATTTTGTGTACTCTGCATATTTCTGTGTCTCCTCATCTTCCTGATAAAGTCCAGATTCCCAAGGGTATTCCCAAGGATAAAGTGACAGGGATGACAAGGCCCCCCACTTGTTTCTTGATGATTTCTTCAGCTTGAATTTATGCTGTTCTCCCTCCTTCTCTCTTTAGCTGCTCTGAACTTCTTTTATTTCTACTTCTTATCTGTTTATTTTTTCTTCCCATCCTCCACTACAGTGACATCTTTCATCTTTAGAAAGCACAACTGAGCACTTTTGACTCTGGGCCCACCCGTGTGCTGTTTCCTCTGCCCACTTTTGAGCAGCTTTCTTCTACTCTTCCTTGAGGTATCAACTGAAACATCATTCCAGAGGAAGGGCATTTCTAAGCAGGTCAGAATTATTTGCTGTGTGTTCCCATAGCTGTTTTTATTTCTTCTGACAGTACGTTTATTACACTTACACTGTCTGCTCCACACAGGCAGGCGACATTTATGTCCTGTTCATCTCTTCATTATTGCCAAAGCTCAGTGCTTTCACATAATAGAAATCATTTCTTGAATGAATAAATTAGTGGGCAAATGAAGATTTCTCTTCCTCTGTTCTTAAATTCAATGCAAACCACTTTGTGTTGGGTATGAAGAGATTGATCCTAACTCTGAGCTTTCAAGGGAGACAGACAGCTTTTGGACAGCTTTTTGGTGATATCGCTGAATATTTTAAGTTCCATGGTACTGAATAGCTGAGGAGGAGTTCTCGTCTTGAATTTCAAGCAGCAAGTTTCTGTCTTGGCAATTAAGAATTTAAAATTTTAAATTCTCTGTCCCCCAAATACAGGAAACATTGATCTTACAGGAAATAATGTAGCTATATTGAGAACATGCACCCAAAGTTCTGAGATTAGTGGGAGCCAAGAGGTGTATCAAAACGCAGCCATTTGTGTTAATTGATAGAGTAGGCAGTCCACATTTTGTGAACTCCAAGTGTAGTCCCTGGACCAGTAGTATCAATATCATCGAAAGATTTGTAGACAATGTAAGTTCTTAGGCTTCACCTCAGATCTACAGAATAAAAAACTAAAGGAGTGATGCCCAGTAGTGTGTGTTTTAATGAATCTTTGATTCTGACGTCTGCTCAAGTTTGAGAACTGCTGTCATAGGTTGTGTAGGAGATCCTTCCTAGTGTATTCCTACACAATCTATGACAGCAGTTCTCAAACTTGACTCAGTAAGAACTTAATATTGAGCAAAAAGGGGCTCGCACAGCTGGGAAAAGACTATCAGCTGGGAATGACATGGGATAAGATATCATTTAATTTGAAATAGGAGCTGTAGAATGGAGAGTATTTCCTTAACCACACTGTAAAGTGTTCCAGGTATTTTTTCATGAGAGTAAACTAGGAATGGATTATCAGAACTCATCTCAGAGTCTGTATAGTTCATTGTATTTAAGCATGTGTAATAAAATGTTCTTGGCTTTCATTCAAAAGGTCGAAGATCACCTTCTTACATTATGATGTATCAGCAGTGGGATTGGGGTGCTATACCTGATTATTACAGTCAGACTCGGGCATGCAAAACAAGCAGCCCTGACGGAATTTTGTAGTTAAAGCAGAAAACTCAACTGAGGACAAAACTCACGAGGGGAAATTGGAGGTACTCTTACGGCAGTTCTGAATGTCATTTTAGTTGTAATTATCGAGTATCCTGGCAATCAAGACAGTGATAAAGATGTGACACACTTTGTGCATTTTTACATAGCCCCCTGAGCTTCATTATTGCCTCTATCAAAAGAATAAGGAGAAAATTTGTTTTTTGTCTTATTGTTATATTCCATTGAAATATTTTCCCAAACATATAAGCACAATTGGAAGAAGCTTGAGATCTGCATCAGCAGAAAGTCTCCATAGTCTCCTCAGTTTTTGTAATTCCTTTTATTTTATTACATGTTCTTGTACTTTCTGCAGCATACAAAATTGACTTTAAGTAGCAACAAAAATATTCACATACCTGACCCTGAATAATAGTCATAGCTTTGTACTGTCTACTCTTCAGCTCATATAAAAAAGAAGTGATATTTATGGTATATGAATTAAGATTACTCATTCTATTTCTCTATGGATTTTAAATTATATACTTCAATTAAATCTGACTACCAGGAAATATTTGGGCAGTGGGAGCCTAGTGTTTTGCAAAATTGCTTTCACTGATCTATCCCTTAAGAGTATGACTTTTTCCTCTTGTAGTTATGTTAAAATGCACAATTATATTCCTTTTTTTTCCTTTATTCCTCTCCCTTCATTCCCTCCCTTCCTCCCTCTCTCGTCCCCTTCCTATCTCCCTTCTTTCCTTTCTTTCTTTCATTTTTTAAGATGAGTACAGGAAATAATATTGAAAACTCTCTATTATATTTTCTACACACATTTCATTGTTAACATTATTCTCATTTTTAATTTTACCTATATTGAGCACCATGAAGAAAACTTTCCTTAGAATTCAGTACCAGAAAAATTTTGCTCTGGTGAGGCACTGGTATTTTTCTTCCTTTTTGATAGTGAGAATTATATGACTGACTTCTTTTTACCTAGGTTAAAAAAAAAGCTCAAAGCTAAATATTAAAGGCAGCTTTACTGGCCTTTCAGAATGTTCATATGCTTCTATCATAGTTCTGAATATGTAATAAACTTTCATTTCATGTATCATTTTTACATGATTAAATGTAAGTGAAATAAAAAAGCTTACTTTTAATTTATAATCAAATAACTTATAAGCTTAAGAATTATGTTTACTTGTATTTCCCAGATAGCATCCCAAATGACAAGTCTTAGTATTCATATGCCCACATATCAAAAATAGAACACCAATTTTTTATAAAAATAAATTTAACCATGGCTGAAAATAATTTTCAATGTGCCATATCCTCAATAAATCTCTTAGAATCTTACTAATTTGTTTTCATTATTGTCATTGATGTTTTTGGAACTCCAGTCACGCTATCAGTTAATGCGCGGTACTTACATTGTTATTGACGTTTGTTGATATGGTCACTCAACCCAGAGAAATATTTACCTGTAGTTCTGAAAGAATCCATCTTTAACTTTAGAGCAATTGTTCTAAGATCTCAGTAAGAAAACCATGATTTTATGAAGTTTTAGTTCATTCATTTTCACTGCTATGTAATGTTCAATACCATATTTGTAAGATTTATTTTTCTGTCCATAGATACTTCAGTTCATTATAATATTTACTTCTACACACAATGTTATAATGAACATTCTAATGGGGACCCTTGTTAATCATTCTTTCAGCAAAGTTTTGTGGGTAATAGAGTTTCTTACATGGGAAGCCTAAAAGTATATTTATTTTTCATTGACTGAAAATAATAACTTCTTCAGGTAAAGAACTTTAGGTTGACAGTTATTTTAACTTACCACTTTGAATCTATGAGTAATTTCCTTCTATATTTTGTTGCTAGTGACATGTCTGCTTTGAGTCGAAGTCATCCCTTTGTGACAAAGCTTTTTTTTGTAATCTGATAGTCTTTATGATTTTTAGTATGCATTTTTAGTGTGAATATTCACATTCTTATAAAATAGTCTTAGCATTATATTTTTGAATGTTATAAACCTGTCATTTCCTCTGTTCTCTTCTGTTGGAATTTTTATTAAAATGTTTTTCATTAGGATATTTTAAGTGCTTTTTCATAACTTTTAATTTCTTTGTCTCACTGTGATCTTTTCTTGGTAAATTCATTATTACTGTGTTCCATTTTGATTAATTTCTCTTTGACTTCTATTCAGAGTTTATTTCAGTATACTCTATTTCAATTAATAGCTATATTTATATCCATTTATATTTCGTATTAGTTTATTTGTCATATTCTCTTCCTTTTCCCTTTAGTTTTATTTTATCCCTAAATACCACAGAACACTTACTTTAAAGTCATTTTTGGATTGCTTTATTTCCTTTTTATCAGGATAAATTAATCTAGTTTATTTTCTTGGCTGTATTTATGGATTTTCTTCATGTGTAACAAAAGTGCAATATGCAGACTTATCTTGATTGGAACATTTTTCTTTCATTTTTCACTCATACTTGAATATTTACCTCTCTCGATATAATATTGAGGTTATTTGTGAGTTGACTCCTTCCAGCTCCATGAAGCTTTCACTCCTAAACCAGGTCACATCCAAGGTTTAAAGCTCCTGTCCCATTTTAGATTATGACTAGGTTTGTTCAACTTCTAGCTGGAAGGTGGTCATCTCTGCTTTCTTTTATTTTCCTCATTGAAAACCTTTATGAAAGCAATATCCTTGCATAAAGGCAACAACTTATTAAAAAGTCTATCTTTGTATACAAAGAAAACCTAATCTCTGTCCAGTTGCCAAGCAATGAACTTAATGCTGGTCCCTGGTCTCTGTGGGTCACTTTGAGTTTTCATTTTCTCACGGGAATGTCACTTCAGCCATCTCCTCTCCTGTGTCCAGACCCAGAGTCCAGAAGACTTTAGCCCCACTTGCTCCTTTGGTATTTGGTTCTGTCTTTGAACTACAATGACATTTTACCTTTTAAAAAAATTAAAGCTATGTCTTTTTTATTATATTGAAAAATATTTGATCAATTATTGACATGTTTGGAGCAGAAAGTTTTCGTGTGTGTGTTGGGGGATGTGGGTATGTGAAAATTATCTCGCAGCTTCATCTTACCTGAGGATTGTTTCTTAATTTCATAAACATTTTTCACACATAAGGATAGCAACTCTTTCATTGTCATTTTTCTACAAATATTTTACTCAGTTTGTCCCTTTATAAGTTGTAGTTTTGATTACAAGTCTTTTAAACTTTATGATTTCTGTCTTTACTATTCCACTTAAGAAATATCAATCTATGTTTTATTCTAGTGCTTTTATGATTCTTAATATTTTTAAATGCCTGTATGTTCAATTTTTCTAAAATATATTTTGATTTGGAATAGTAATATACTACTTTTCCTAAATCATTAATATATTGTTAAATATACTTGTTAGTATATCTTAAATATGTTAAATAACCCATCATATGTTCACTGACTTGAAATGTCTCA